>NC_000002.12:32256129-32408879 GCF_000001405.40 Homo sapiens
GTGGAAAAAATGCTGCTCATTTATTCATTAATTATTCATTCTTTTCAGAATATCTCTTTGTCTAGACCAATGCTTTTCAATAGAACTTTCTGTGATAATGAACATGTTCTATATCTGCATTATACAATATGGTAGTCATTAGCCACATGTGACTACTGAGTGCTTGAAATCTGGCTACAGTGACTGTGCAACTGAAGTTTACATTTTATTTTATTTAAATTCACCTTTAAATAGCTACAGAGGGCTAGTGGCTACTATTAATATACTAGATAGTGCAGGTCTACACCCAGCCATTTAAAGTGGAAGGAGCTACATTTTGGTTGCCACTTAGATCTATACCATGTTTCTTCACAATGAGCTTGACATGTATAGCTCTCTGCTGTCTGGCTGAACAGGTGATGAGAACTAACAGTTTAAAACATACACCTGGTCACTCTTTGTGTAAGTCCTATCCTATCTGTGGTTCTGCCTTTTATCACAGGTTACCATATTTGTAACTGAATTCCTAAAACAACAGAAGAATATTTATTGGTAATTCCACATATGACTGGTCAGAGGAAGCCATGAACTGATTTTCCATTTAAAATCACCAGTATTTGGTAGCAGACTGTATAACCAGGCAGATGTTATTTCTCATATACTTACTTGTTCTGGATGAAAGCTTCCCACCTTTCTATAACACAATAGAAAATATTATTTCCAAATGGAAAGGTCAAAGGTGATCCCAATATTGTCCTCTTTTTTCTGTAAAACTACTCTTCATTCTGTAAAACAAACAAAACAGAACCAGAGACTATCAGGTGGAGGGGCTGATGCAATTATCTAGGTAATGCCCCGCTTTTCATAGATGAGAAAATGGTGACCCAAACCAGAAAAAAACTCGCTCAAAGCCCCTGGCTATTCATGGCCAGGCCCTAAAGAGAACCCAGGCGGCTGGACTCCTTGCCTAGAGCTCTAAACTATGTTCAGCTGGAACTTTGCCCTTCTCTTCAAAGTTTCTTCTCATTTCTGCTGTTCAGAGCCAAGAAGGCAACATGGAATTAAATGTCAAAAGACGGTATAAGTGTCAACATGAATGGTGCAGAGGGTACGTTCTCTCCAGTATTTCCAGGAAAGAGTATATGGACTGGAATCATCCAGGGAGGAAGTTTTCATGGAGGAGACAGCACATGAACCAGGTCTTAAAGGATAAGTAGGGCTGGGCGCGGTGGCTCACGCCTGTAATCCCAACACTTTGGGAGGCCGAGGCAGGCGGATCACGTGAGGTAAGGAGTTCGAGACCAGCCTGACCAACATGGTGAATCCTGTCTCTATTAAAAATACAAAAATTAGCGGGGCGTGGTGGCACACGCCTGTAGTCCCAGCTGTTCCGGAGGCTGAGGCAGGAGAGTCACTTGAGCCCGGGAGACGGAGGTTGCAGTGAGCCGAGATCGTGCCACTGCATCCCAGCCTGGCAGACAGAGCGAGACTCTGCCTCAAAAAGAAAAAAAAAAAAAAAAAAGGATAAGTAAGATGAGGCCAGGTAGTTGGGCTGGGGTGGAGGTGGAGATGAGGATGTAAAACGCCTTGCAGGTGAGAGGATGAGATCAGGGAGTATGGAAAGGGGAAAAGTTCTCTTGTCCCCTTCGCAGGGCTTGCGATGGGGGTGTGGCTCACTTCTTCAGTGCCCGCTGCTCAGACCTCTAGGGGATCATACAGATGGGCGGGCTGTGGGGTTCCAATCCCACGGCAGTGTCTAGTGGTGAATGTTTACAGCTCCTGAAGCCCCAGTGGGTGTGTGTTACAGGGTGCTCTTTTAGTTCAGCTGTCCGTAGGCGTCTTGTATTAGCTCAATGGGACCCCTGCCTTATTGCAAGGACAGAGGGCTTTCTGTATTCCGGGGTTCTTGCCTTGGTGTACCGGAGGAATTGGATCACACGTGGTCTTGGAGAATGAGCGCAAGGTTTCATTGAGTGGAAGAAGCTCTCAGCAGATGGGGTAGCCAGAAGGGAGATGGTTTTTCCCCGGAGTAAGACCGCCACCAACTCTTCTCCAACCCTCCAGGCCAAACTCCGAGTCGTTCCTCTGGTGGATGGCCTGCTGGCGTGCCGATGTCTGTTGTGTGCTCTTCCGCCAGCATTCTCCCTTCAACGTCCTCTGGACGTCCAGCTGCTTGTATGTTCTTCCGCCGATGTGTTCCTCTCGACGTCCAGCCGCTTGTGTGTCTGCCTGCAAGGGTCTCTGGGATTTTTATAAGCATAGGATGACGGTGTGGCAGGCCAGGGTGGCCTTGGGAAATGCAACATTTGGGCGCCAAGGCAGGAGTGCCTGTCCTCACCTAGGTCCGTGGGCACAGGCCTGGGGGTGGAGCCCTTGCCAGGGACGCGCCCTTCTCTTCCCAGCACTTCCCTTCCCCCCTTCCCTATCAATATGAGTAATTGAGGAGACAGAAAAAAGGAGTTATGCTTCCAGGGTACAAAGGGGAAAAGCTATGGAAAGCCTTGTACGCCAAGATGAGGCATTTGTTCTTTATCCTATGAGCAACTGGGAGAGATTATGGTATAAGGAGTATGTTTAAAGTGATGTTTTAAGATAAGAAACGGATTTCAATTTCCTGGTATGGTCCTGTCATTTCATCCTCCTAGTTGCTTTAAAAGCAACTTCCTTTCTCCCTTCCTCCTCCACACACTCTGAAAAGCAGGGGCCCAGAAGCCTCTGAGACTGCTCTGTGTGCATTCCCAAACCAAGTTAGATGATCTACCCCGGCTCCTCATACACACATACACGACCCCCTGCATCAGGATGAAGATGCAAAGTCTGAATTAAAGACAGCATGAGAGGGCAGACAGGAAGTGGGGAAGAGAACTAGAATCACTGGGTGGAGAGAAACAAAATGGGAGCTATGTGAGTGTGATTGTGGTATGTGAATGGAGTTGGCTTGGGAACTCATGTGGATGGGGTTGGCATGGGAACTCATGTTATCCTAACATTAAAACTCTTTTTTTGAGACAGGGTCTCACTCTGTCACCCAGGTTGGAGTGCAGTGGCCCCATCATGGCTCACGGCATCCTTAACCTTCTGGGCTCAGGTGATCTTCCCACCTCAGCCTCCTGAGTAACTGGGACCGCAGGTGTGTGCCACCATGCCTGGCTAATTTTTTTTTTTTTTTTTTTTTTTTTTTTAGAGACAGAGTTTTGCCGTGTTGCCCAGGCTGGTCTCAAACTCCTGGGCTAAAGTGATCTGTCTGCCTCAGTCTCCCAAAATGCTGAGATCACAAGAATGAGCCACCGCGTCTGGCCATTACCCTAACATTTTATTATGAACATTTTCAAACATAGAGAAAATCCATCCCTCTATTCATTTATCAATCTATTTTACTTATTTTCTTGCATATTCAATGTAAGTTGCAGACGTTAGTACACTTCTATGTTCATATAATTAACTAGAATTCAATATTGGTTTATTATTCTTTCTTAGGAAAAATTCACCTACAGTGAAAGCAGAGATCTTAACTGTACCCTTTGATGAGCTGAAAAATGCTTCTACCTCAAACACCTATCAAGACAGAAAACATTACCCTCTCCTTAGTATCCTATGCCCCTTCCCAGTCAAATTCCATCTCTGCCACACCCTCAAAGAAAATCACTCTTCTGATTTTTTTAAACCGTAAATTAGCCTGTTGAAGAACTTCACATAAACGGAATCATACAGTATGTGCTACTCCTTTCATTCCACACAATGTCTGTGTAAGTCACTCATGCTGTTGCTTGCAGTATAAGTAGTTTGTAACATTTCATTGCTTAGTAGTATTGTACTGTATAAAATACTAGAGTGTATTGGCCGGGCACGGTGGCTCACGCCTGTAATCCCAGCATATTGGGAGGCCGAGGTGGGCGGATCACCTGAGGTCAGGAGTTCAAGACCAGCCTGGCCAACATGGCGAAACCCTGTCTCTACTAAAAATACAAAAATTACCCGGGCATGGTGGCTCATGCCTGTAATTCCAGCTACTTGGGAGGCTGAGGCAGGAGAATCACTTGAACCCAGGAAGCGGAGGTTGCAGTGAGCCAAGATCGTGCCACCACACTCCAGCCTGGGCAACGACAAAAAAAAAAAAAAAAAAAACAACGAAAAAAAAAAAACTAGAGTTTATTTATCTATTCTCCTGTTGATGGATTGGGTTGTTTTCAGATTGGGGCTATCATAAATACAGAACAATGAATACTTTTGTACAAGGGGGTCCTTCCCCACAAAAACTTCTCTAAGAATAGCTTACTTTGACTCTGATCTTTCTAATTTCACAAGCTCTTTGAATAAGGATCTCCTCAGCTTAAACTAGATGCTCACAGCCATGGCAAGTTTGCTGTGAATGTTGCTGTTGTGAGAGTGATAAGTGAGGATAAGAAAGTCCTAGATAAAGTTTCCTTTCATTCAAAAAGCCCCCAAATCATATCTTTTCTAATAAAAAGCAGCCTGAAAAATCAAGCTGCAAGTATAGATAAGCTAAAAGCTTGCATTGGTAAATGCCAGTAGCTGTGCCCATAGAAAAAAGCCACCTGGGGGCCAGGCATATTCAACATGGCGGATCCATCTTCCCTTTTCTTTTTCAACCATGTGTACAGTAGGAACAGACAACATAGTGCCGGCCAGATAGAGACCCCATCTGCATAATAAAACATAAGGGTGGAATGGCCGGCTTCTTCGTGCGCTATGCAAACGTTATACCGGTTCTGACCAATCTCTCAGTCCCTATGTATATCAGACACCACCTTCTCAAGTTCATCTATAAAACCCCATGCATTGGCTGGGTGCAGTGGCTCACGCCTGTAATCCCAGCACTTTGGGAGGCTGAGGCAGGCGGATCACAAAGTCAGGAGATCGAGACCATCCTGGCTAACAAGGTGAAACCCTGTCTCTACTAAAAAATTCAAAAATTTAGCCAGGCGTGGTGGTGGGCGCCTGTAGTCCCAGCTAATCGGGAGGCTGAGGCAGGAGAATGGCGTGAACCCGGGGGGCGGAGCTTGCAGTGAGCCGAGATCGCAGCACTGCACTCCAGCCTGGGCGACAGAGCGAGACTCCATCTGAAAACAACAACAACAACAACACCATGTATTTCACCACAAAACCACTCACTCAGGTTCCCCTCTCTCTCTGCAGGAGAGAGAGCTATTCTCTTTTCTCTTTCTTTCGCCTATTAAGCCTCCCCCCTTTTGTTTTTTTTTGAGATGGAGCCTCGCTCTGTAGCCAGGCTGGAGTGCAGTGGTGCGACCTCAGCTCACTGCAACCTCTGCCATCTGGGTTCAAGCGATTCTCCTGCCTCAGCCTCCCGAGTAGCTGGGATTACAGGTGCATGCCTCCTCACCCAGCTAATTTTTGTATTTTTAGTAGAGATGGGGTTTCACCATGTTGGCCAGGATGGTCTCAACCTCCTGATCTTGTGATCTGCCTGCCTCGGCCTCCCAAAGTGCTGGGATTACAGGCGTGAGCCACCATGCCCGGCCTAAAACTCCACTCTCAAACTCACTTCTTGTGTGTCTGTGTCCTCGATTCCTTTGGCGTGAGACAACGAACATCAGGTATTTACCCCAATGATGCTGCTTCAAAAGCATATCTATTTTCAGAAAATAAAGTTTCCCTTTTATGTTAAAACTGATTCATTAACAATATAAAAAATTGTCATTGAAATTGGAGCAGCCAGGCGCGGTGGCTCACGCCTGTAATCCTAGCACTTTGGGAGGCTGAGGCAGGTGGATCACGAGGTCAAGAGATCGAGACCATCCTGGCCAACATGGTGAAACCCCGTCTCTACTAAAAATACAAGAATTAGCCAGGCGTGGTGGCAGGCGCCTGTACTCCCAGCTACTCGGGAGGCTGAGGCAGGAGAATCACTTGAACCAGGGAGGCGGAGGTTGCAGTGAGCCGAGATTGCGCCACTGCACTCCAGCCTGGTGACAGAGCGAGACTCTGGGTCAAAAAAAAGAAAAAAAGAAAGAAAGAAAAGAAAAGAAATTGGGGCAGCTCAGGAGCTTAAGCAAGGGCACATTTTGGTGTCAGGATTGCGTTCAAACTACAGCTCTACCACTGACACACTAAGAGTCCTCAATCAAGGGGTAATGACTGGCACACAGGAAGGACTCAGTGAATGGCGGCAACTGTAGATTCTTCTCTCCCTTTCTACTTCCCCAAAAAGGGGTGGGTTTGGGAAGAATCACACCATCCCTGACTGGGTCAAAGTTTAAGTCAGAGTAGAAAAAGAGGAAGAAGATAGAGGAAGGAGCTAAGATGTATAAAGTTTTTAATTGCTCTCAAGAACAAAATCAATCCATATACTGAAGATCATGTAATTTTTCTCAGTTACCCACTGGCATAAAGAATAGGGCTGTGGACCAGGCGTGGTGGTTCACGCTTGTAATCCCAGTGCTTGGGGAGACTGAGGAGGGTGGATCACCTGAAGTCAGGAGTTTGAGACCAGCCTGGCCAACATGGTGAAACCCCATCTCTGCTAAAAGTACAAGAAATTAGCCAGGCGTGGAGGTGCACACCTGTAATCCCAGCTACTTGGGAAGCTGGGACAGGAGAGTTTCTTGAACCCAGGAGGTGGAGGTTTCAGTGAGCCAAGATAGCACCATTGCACTCCAGCCTGGGTGACAGAGAGAGACTCTGTCTCAGACAAAAAAAAAAAAGAATAGGACTGAGACCAGTGTACTCTCTTGGAATGTAGCTATGGCCCTGCAACCCCTCCCCGCAAGCTGTCCAGTGAATAACTGAATTGGGTGGAAGAAGTCCTTCCCCCACATTTGTACATTGGAAAATAATATAATAATATATATTATATATATATAGGCAATCTGCCTGCCTCGGCCTCCCAAAGTGCTGGGATTACAGGCATAAGCCACCATGCCCAGCTGGAAAATAATATTTAGTACTAATTCTAAAATTGGCATTTTCTTAAAAAAGGTTACATGAGCTCCTCAGAGAACTGAAGTTTCTCTGGACCCATATAACCCACGTCTATGGGGTCATTCCCACACCTCACAGATAAAATAAGGGAAAGAGTACATATAATTAGGAGCAGACAGGAAGCACACAGAAATGGAAAATGTGTGTGGGCTTTGGCATTGCAGATCTGAATTCAAATCCTCACTCTGCACCTTATGAGGTAAGTATCCCTAGACATGTTACTTAGCCTTTCCGAATCTTGCTTTCCAAATCATGCATAATATTCACCTCCCTGGACTATTGTGAAGATTAAACATGAAAGTAGTTGTGACAAAGATGGTCAGTGGGTATTATCTGTCTTCCTTTCTAGTAAAAAGGCTCTAGACTAGAATGTTCTTAGGTCTTTAATAGGCTTCAGCAATCTCACATGTTAATATTAGTGTTATGTGCTGAACTGGGCTTCCCCCAAATCCATATGTTGAAGCCCTGAACCTCAGAATGTGACTGTATTTGCAGACAGAGCCTTTAAAGAGGTCATTAAGCTCAAATGAGGCTGTTATGAGAAGAGGAAATCGGGACACACAAAGGGAGATACCAGGAATGTGCATACAGAGAGAAAAGGCCAAGGAGGGAGGCGTGGGGAGAAGCCAACCCTGCTGACACCTTGGTCTTGGACTTGCAGCCTCCAGAACTGTGGGAATATAAATTTCTGTTGTTTAAGCCACCCAGTCTATGGTATTTTAAACACATTAATACGACTAATATTATAAAAGTGTGTGAACAGTTAAGAAGTGTGCTGACCAGGTTCTATCCTAGTTTTGTAGACAATTAGCAGTGTGATGTAGGGCAGGACATTTAACTCCTCTCTACCACATTTTCCACCTCTCAAAGCCAGGCTGCAAGGATCTACTGAGATAATGTACATAAAGACCCTATCACGAAATAGGTGTCCCGTAAAGGGTGATTTCCTTCACTTCTGTCTCCAAATATCAGGTTTCTCATCAGTAACTTGGGAGATTGGATGGACTAAGTAGTCCACCTCGTTCCTTTCAGCTTTGATCATCTGTGATTCTAACAACAGTCTTAGCAACAAGAGTGAGTTTCCTGGCCGGGCACGTTGGCTCACACCTGTAATCCCAGCACTTTGGGAGGCTGAGGTGGGCAGATCACGAGGTCAGGAGTTGAGACCAGTCTGGCCAACATGGTGAAACCCTGTCTCTACTAAAAATACAAAAATTAGCTGGGGCGCGGTGCCGGGTGCCTGTAATCCCAGCTACTTGGGAGGCTGAGGCAGGAGAATTGCTTGAACCCAGGAGGCAGAGGTTGCAGTGAGCCGAGATCACGCCACTGCAGTCCAGCCTGGGTGACAGAGCAAGACTCTGTCTCAAAAAAAAAAAAAAAAAAAGAGTGAGTTTCCTTTCTGTAATGCCAAAAAGTGTTTCCAAAGTCCTTTCCATCTCACAGTAGTCCAAGGGGTACATGTACCCCTTGAACCTGATGAAGCCCCAGCAGACCCGATTAACCACCCCTAAAGGTTTCTCGGCAGGCAAATCCAGCCAGGCATGCAAATCACACTCGTCAATGTTAAGGCTTTTGTACATCCCAGACACAAGCTTTAAATGAATGTAAACCCAGATTTTAATATTTGGGCCCCAGACCTTAAAAATCCCATTCTCTCTACCCACAGTACCTGGCTGAGCAATCCAATTGCCCTCTTCTTGGGAGACCAAGACATGTTTTTAAAATAAAGTTTCTTTGTATTTGCTTTCCGTTTCAGTGAGGCCTCGAGTTCTTGTAGACCAGATACCTTCTTGTTCTGTGAGAGGACAGTGTACAGAGAGGGGAACTGCTGAGCAGTTCCTTTTTTTTTTTTCAAAGCACAGTAAGAGTGGTTTGGACACAAGTACTACCAGTTCAGAAAGGGAAGATGGGTGTAGGCAGGAGTAGCCGGGGAAGAAGTAGAACTTCAGAGTAAAAGATGCAAGAGCTAGAAATTCCGTCAAGAAAGGAATTACTCATTTGTTTCCTGTTTGTTCACAACATATGAATTCATTGCTGTTGAGTTACTTATTCTATACCTTAAAATGAAACAAAGTCTTCTGAACATCCAACATATATTTTTTTTCTTTTTCTTTCTTTTTTCTTTTTTTTGAGACAGAGTCTTGTTCTGTCACCCAAGCTGGAGGGCAGTGGCACAATCTCAGCTCACTGCAACCTCTGCCTCCCGGGTTCAAGCGTTCCTCCCGCCTCAGTCCTCCCAGTAGCTAAGACTACAGGCGTGCACCACCATGCCCGGCTAATTTTTGTATTTTTAGTAGAGACAGAATTTCACCATGTTGGCCAGGCTGGTCTCGAACTCCTGACCTCAGGCAATCTGCCAGCCTCAGCCTCCCAAAGTGCTGGGATTACAGGCGTGAGCCACCATGCCCAGCCACAACATGTATTTTTAATGCTTAACCATGGGAGATAGAGCGGTAAATGAAATGAGCCAGCTTAGTTGGCTAAAGCACATTGCTACTGCATTCAAGGTCATGCTTACCCCTGTACCTTGAATCCCAGAGGACTTCCAGCAGATGTGTTCTCTCAGTCAGCAGGGTTCTGGGCAAGGTCACACAGGGCAAACAGATCACCAGTTTTGGTCCACTCCACCGATGACGCACGGGGACACCCTCCGGAGTATAAACAGCCAGGGGCTTGCACAGGCACACTCACATTGGACGTTTGTGTTCACAGACTCCAGGAGGCCAGCTTATACTCAGCTGAGGACTGAAGAAATCTCTCTGCACTTCCCTTGAGGATGACATTCTTGCATACTCTTTCCTCTGTCTTTGCATAAACTACCAGGAACATGTCTTTGTGTTACATAACTTCTTATTTCAAAAAGAGCATTCTGACAGTAGCCTATCTGCCATAGAGGGATACCAAAGTTTCCCGGCAAATAAATGTCTACATCCTGGGTTTTCTAAGGGGGCATCAGTGTCAGTGTTTCCCAACTTGTGAGGTGGGTTTCTCTGAAGTGAGATTGAGGGCTACACTATCAGCTAGATTTTTAAATTGTAATGAAACCTATATATAAACATATGTTCAAGAGAAAAAACTGCAAAGACAGCCACCAAAATAGTAATGATGCTTATTGCTGGGGAATACAATTATAAGCAATTTTAAATTTCTGTCTTTGGCTTATCTGTATATTCTAATTTTATTTATCAACTTATTTATTTTTTATTTTATTTGTTTATTTATTTATTTATTTATTTATTTGAGACAGAGTCTCGTTCTGTTGCCCAGGCTGGAGTGGAGTGCAGTGGCTCAATCTTGGCTCACTGCAACCTCTGCCTCCCAGGCTCAAGCAATTCTTGTGCCTCAGCCTCTCAAGTAGCTGGGATTTCAGGTGTGGGCCACCACCATGGCTAATTTTTTGTATTTTTAGTAGAGACAGGGTTTTGCTATGTTGGCCAAGCTGGTCTTGAGCTCTTGGTCTCCAGTGATCCACCTGTGTTGTCCTCCTAAAGTAATGGGATTACAGGCGGGAGCCACCATGCCCAACCTGTATATTCTAATTCTTCATAGCAAACACCTATTACTTTTGTACTAATAAATGATGTAATATAGAATAAAAAGGGAAAATGTAGAAATATGGTTGTAGTAGGCTGAATAGTGGCTACCCAAATATCCCAAATCCTAATCCCTGGGAACTGTAAATATTGTGTCTTTCCAGATATGTTCCATTTAAGGCTCTGAAGATGGGGAGAGAATTCTGGATGATCCAGGTGGGCCCTTAATAATGGTCCCTTATTACAGAGAGCCAGAGGGAGATTTGAAACTGACAGGAGAAGTCAGTAAGACCATGAATGCAGAGATTCGAGTAATACGGCTACGAGCCAAAAGATGCCAGCAGCCACCTGCAGCTGGAAGAGGCATAAATGGATTCTCCCCTAAAGCTCCCAGGAGTGTGGCCCTGCTGACACCCTGATTTCAGCCCCATGATACTGATGTTGGACTGGTCCTCAGAACTGTGAAAGAATAAATTTCTGTTGTTTTAAACCACCCAGTTTATGATATTTTGTTACAGCAACCACAGTAGACTAATACAGTAGTATTTCATAGTAAAATAAGCAAAATTATATCCATATTCATTCAAGTACATCTTCTGGGCTGCCTCACCAGTTTCCTTTGTGAGTGGATTTGCAGTCAGGTGTTTTCAGGGCATTTCAAATAGGTAATTAACTAGTAACTTCGGCATCCTACGTTCCAACAGTTACGTCCCCTGCCCTTATGTTCTTCCTCCCAGTCTCTCCCAACGCTTATTATCCTAGGAGTGTGGTAAAGTGGAAATGCCCAGAGCTCTGGAGCCAAGTAGACCTGAGTTCAAGTCTGGGTTCCTTCCTGTGACTAATACAAGTCACCTTAGCTTCTTAGCAGTGCAATGATGGTTCCCCAAGTTGCCCCAGGGTTGTTGTGAATATCAGCTGAGATGCCATCTGTGAAGTACCACATGGCACTAACTATTCTGTGACTTTAAGCATATGTAGCTACTCATGCTTTTAACTCCCAGTTTAATGCGGAGGGAAGGAAAAAGTCACGATACTTTTCTTCCTAGAGGCCTGTAACTCATAACTCCAAAAATAATTATTCTGGAATTCTGTTAGTCTTCTGCTTACATATTTAGTGGCAGGGAAGTCACTGGGCCAAATCAGGCAGGCAGCTTCCTAATATGCCTTAATAAAGAGGGGTCAATTTTTTTTTTTTTTTTTTTTTGAGACGGATTCTCACTTTGTCACCCAGGCTGGAGAGCAGTGGCTGCAATCTCAGCTCACTGCAACCTCCACCTCCTGGGTTCAAGCGATTCTCCTGCCTCAGTCTCCCAAGTAGCTGGGATTACAGGTGCGCACCACTATGCACGGGCTTTTTTTTTTTTTTTTTTTGACACAGTTTCACTCTTGTCGCCCAGGCTGGAGTGCAATGGCGTGATCTTGGCTCACTGCAGCCGCTGCCTCCCGGGTTCACGCCATTCTCCTGCTTCAGCCTCCCGAGCAGCTGTGCTTACAGATGTTTGACACCACGCCCGGCTAATTTTTGTATTTTTGTCGAGATGGGATATCACCATGTTGGCCAGGCTGGTCTCGAACTCTTGACCTCAGGTGATCTGCCCACCTCAGCCTCCCAAAGTGCTGGGATTACAGGTGTAAGCCACAGTGCCTGGCCAGGAGGGTTAAATCTTCTTGACTACCTCCTTTAGGAAATAGAAGTACATTGTGCCTATTATCCTCTGCCATATCTATATTTATATTATGTATATTATTATAATTTATATATAACAAGTATATATTATACATGATATTACATATACATATATAAATATATCATTTATAAATATAAGTTACATATATTTACATATATTATATAAATACATTTATATACAATATTATATAAATACATATATTTATATGTAAGTATATAAATACAAATATTTATAAGTATACAAATATATATAATTCCCCATCCTCACCCCTTAAAATTGGACTAATAATTCAGATACTCTATGTAAAAGAGGCTTTGGTAGAATAAACTAAATGCTGGAGGACAGATTGACTCTCAAGGAGTCTGAAATCCTGTTCTAAAATTAACATTTGAAACAACTAGAGATATTTGGCAAGAAGCAGAAAGAATTTCAAATAGGTTTGATAACTGTGTTATTTGCGGAGGCATGGCATAGGGAAGAGGGAACATGTTTCAGATGCCTATGACAAATGAAAATCATGTACAAGGAGTCAGTTAATGATAAAGTTACTTCTTTAGGGGAATTAGTCATGCTTTTTTTTTTTGAGACAGAGTCTAACTCTGTCACCCAGGCTGGAGTGCAGTGGCATGATCTCAGTTCACTGCAATCTCCATCTCCCAGGTTCAAGCGATTCTCCTGCCTCAGCCTCCCGAGTAGCTGGGATTACAGGCATGTGCCACCATGCCTGACTAATTTTTGTAATTTTTAGTAGAGACAGGTTTTTGCCTTGTTGGCCAGGCTGGTCTCAAACTCCTCGTGTAAAGCAATCTGCCCGCTTCAGCCTCCCAAAGTGCTGGGATTACAGGCATGAGCCACCACGCTCAGTCTCGTCATACTTTTTGCACTCCTTGCATTTGTATTCCAGTATTTGGGCAGTTTCCCAGATTATGATACTAACATCCCCAAGGTAGCAGTCATTTACCAGGTTGCTAAGATATGGCTACCTCCTCCTCTTGTTCCAAGTCGGCAGTCTACATCTCAGCCTTCGGATGCATGTTCTTCACCCCTGCCTGACACACTGGCTCTCTCTCTCTCTGCTACTCCCAGCTCTAGTGGAGGACTGAAAATTCCAGACTTCCTCAGTGCTACAGAGAGAAGCCTCCAGAAGCTAGGCAGGAGGGTGTACCCCCACCATCCACTGATGCTCTAGATTTGTGGGTCGCTGGACTCAGGGCTACTGAGAGTAGTCCTGATAGGAAAAAATGAGCAGGGCTTGCTAGACAGTATCTAAAATCATTCATCCTGGCTGGGTGTGGTGGCTCACGCCTGTAATCCCAGCACTTTGGGAGGCTGAGGTGGGCGGATCACCTGAGGCCAGGAGTTTGAGACCAGCCTGGGCAACGTGGTGAAACCCTATCTCTACTGAAAAATACAAAACAATTAGCCAGGCATGGTGGTGCATGCCTGTAATCCCAGCTACTCAGGAGGCTGAGGTATGAGAATCACTTGAACCCGGGAGGTAGATGTTGCAGTGAGCTGAGATCGTGACACTGCACTCCAGCCTGGGTGACAGAGTGAGATTCTGTTTCAAACAAAACAAAGCAAAATTATTCATCTGGCTGGGAGTGGTGGCTCATGTCTGTAATCCCAGCACTTTGGAAGGCCAAGGACGGTGGGTCATCTGAGGCCAGGAGTTCAAGACCAGCCTAGCCAACATGGCAAAACCCATCTCTACTAAAAAAAAAAAAAAATCGAAAAATTAGCCAGGCATGGGGGTGCATGTCTGGAAACCCAGCTACTCAGGAGGCTGAGGCATGAAAATAGCTTGAACCCAGGAGGCAGAGGTTGCAGAGGCTGTAGTGAGCCAAGATCACGCCACTGCACTCCAGCCTGGGCAACTGAGCGAGACTCCGTCTCAAAAGAATAAAATAAAATAAAATAAAATAAAATAATAATTCATTCACCACACTTTTAAGAGGGTGGTCCTGGATTAGCCTATTTATGTTTGAAAAGTGAACATACTGTTTTCTAGCGTTAAAAAATCTAATTGTGCAAAAGTATACAGTGAATGAGATAATTACCTTTACAGCTCAGTGAAGAAAATGTAGCAAGCATTGGATGTACTTGTACACCCGGGGGTCCTCAAGCTCCGGGTGCTAACTGGTACAGGTCCATGGCCTGCTAGGAACTTGGCCGCAAAGTAGAGGTGAGCAGCTGTGAGCAAGCATGACCCCCTGAGCTCCATCTCCTGTCAGATCAGTGACAGCATTAGATTCTCAGAGGAGTGTGAATTTTACTGTGAACTGTGCATGCAAGGGATCTAGGTTGCATGCTCCTTATGAAACTCTTAACGCCTGATGAACTGAGATGGAACAGTTTAATCCCAAAACCATTCCCCCTCCCTCACTCCCTATCCATGGAAAAATTGTCTTCCATGAAACCCTGGTGCCAAAAAGGCTGGGGATTGCTGTTCTACACCATTAGAAACTAATTAAACTGCTTTTACCTTTTTTGAATACTTTTTTTGTGTGAGATAGAGTCTCACTGTGTTACCCACGCTGGAGTGCAGTGGCGTGATCTTCGCTCACTGCAGCCTTGACCTCCTGGGCTCAAGTGATTTTTCCACCTCAGCATCCCAAGTAGCTGAGACTACAGGCACTTACTGCCACACCTAGCAAATTTTTTTTTTCTAATTTTTGTATAGACAGGGTTTTGCCATGTTGCCCAGGCTGGTCTCAAACTCCTGGACACAAGCAATCCTACTACCCTGGCCTCCCAAAGTGCTAGTATTACAGGCGTGAGCCACCATGCCTGGCCTAGAATGCTTTTTATTTACAAAGGTAATACATGTTAAATTCAAAAACTTTGAAAATACAGAAAAGACACACAAAAAAAAAAACCCCACAATCCTGCCACACCAAATAATCACTAATGAGTCCAAAGAGGTATCTCATTGTGGTTATGACTTACATTTCCCTTGTGACTAATGATGCTGTGCACCTTTGATGTGCTTATTGGCCAAATGAGTATCTTCTTTGTGAAGCATCTGTTCAAATCTTTTGCTCACGTTTTCATGACACTGAGTTATAAGGATTCTTGAAGTATTCTGGAGACAAATCATTTATCAGATTTCTGGATTGTGACTATTTTCTTCTAGTTTGTGATGTGCCTTTTCATTGACTTAACAATGTCTTTCAAAGAGCAGAACTTTAAATTTTTGATGAAATTCTATTCACACACACACACATATATATATATATATATATATAGAGAGAGAGAGAGAGAGAGAGAGAGAGAGAGAGAGAGAGACAGAGTCTGGCTTTGTTGCCCAGGCTCACTGCAACCTCTGCCTCCTTCAAGTGATTCTCCTGGCTCAGCCTCTCAAGTAGCTGGGACTACAGGTGCCCGTCACCACACCAGTTAATTTTTTGTATTTTTAGTAGAGATGGGGGTTCCACCATGTTGGCCAGGCTGGTCTCGAACTCCTGACCTCAAGTGATTCACTCACCTCGGCCTCCCAAAGTGCTGGGATTATAGACGTGAGCCACCATGCACGGCCTCACCATTTTTTTAAGTGATTTGTGCCTTTTGTGTCCTATTTAAGACCTTTGTTATCCCAATGCGGCAAAGATGCCATCTGCAATCTTAATTCCCCTTTGCCATGTAACAAACATACATATTCATAGTGCTATGGTCTGCATGTTTATGTCCCCACAAAATTCATATGTTGAAATCCTCACCCCCAAAATATTACGACGTAAGGCCTTTGGGGGGTGACTAGGTCATGGGCGAGAAGTCTTTATAAATGGGATTAGTGGACTTATAAAAGAGGCCCAACATGTACACCATAAATATATACACCAACTGTGTACCCATAAAAATTAAAAATTAGGCTACTCAAGAGGCTGAGGCAGGAGGATTGCTTGAGCCAAGGAGTTTGAGGTTATAGCGAGCTATGATTGTGCCACTGCACTCCAGTCTGACCAACAGAGCGAGGCACCCTGACTGGAAAAAAAAAACAGAAAAAAAAAAGGCCTGAGAGAGCCCCTCATCCCTTCCACCACGTGAGGATATAGTGACAAGGTAGCCAACTATGAACCAGGAAATGAGCCACCAAATTTGCCAGCAGCTTGGTCTTAGACGTCCCAGCCTCCATAACTGTGAGAAATAAATTTGTTGCTTACAAGCCATCCAGTCTATGGTATTTTGTTATAGCAGCCCAAACAGACTGAGACACATGGATTCTGGATTTTAGGATGCAGACATCTCTGGGGGGCCATTATTCTGCTTATCACATACACCCTTTATTAGAATGAGGAACTTGTGTTCCTAATTTGCTGAGCGTTTTTGTCATGACACATATTGTTTACTATGTGCCAACCACTCTAAGTGTTTTAAATATGTCATTTAACTCGCATCTATGAGATAATTATTACCCCTACTTTACAGAGGAGTAACTTAGGCTTAAAGAAATTAACTTGCCTAGAGTAATATAGCAAAGTGGAAAAATAAGATTTGAACAGAAATATGTTAAAACCAAAGCTCAAACTTTTGGTAACTGTTGTTAAAATATACTGCAGATTGGATGTTATTCACTTTCTACATAAGGTCATTCATTTGTTTTTTAACAGCTTTGTCGAGATATAATTCATATACCTTACAACTCATCCATTTAAAGTGTACAATTCAGTGGCTTATAGTATATTCACAGTGTTGTGCATCCATCACCATGATCAATTTTAGAACACTGCCTCAGCAAAATGGCCCACTCCTATAATCCCAACATTTTGGGAGGCTGAAGTTGGGGGATTGCTTTAGCCCAGGAGTTCAAGACCAGCCTGGGCAATGTGGCAAAACCCCATCTCTATAAAAAATACAAAAAAATTAGCCGGTCATAATGGCACATGCCTGTAAGTCCCAGCCACTTGGGAGCCTGAGGTGGGAGGATCATTTCAGCCTGTGGAGGCTGAGGCTGAAGTGAGCTGTGATTGTGCCACTGCACTCCAGCCTGGATGACAGAGTGAGACCCTGTCTCAAAAAAAAAATTTTTTTTAGAACATTTTTTGTTAGCCCCCAAAGAAAACCTGTCCTCCTTAGCTGTCGCCTTGATCTACTGTCTATCTTTATGGACCTGCCTATTCTGGACATTTCATATAAATGGAATAATAATATGTGGTCCTTTTTGATTGGCTTCTATCACTTAGCATAATGTTTTCAGGGTTCATCCAAATTTTAGTATGTATCGGTACTTCGTTCATTTTTATTGCCAAATAATATTCCATTGTATGGATATACCAATTTATTCACTTATCAACTGATAAACCTTTGGGTGGTTTCCACTTTTTGTCTATTATGAATATTGCTGCTATGAACATTAGTGTGCTTGTGTCCACACGAATTTTTGTGTGGCCATATGTTTTCATTTCTCTAGGAGTGCAATTGCTAGATCATATGGTACATCTATGTTTAAGCATTTGAGGAACTGCCGGACAGTGTTCTAAAACAGCAGCTACATTTTGTATCACAAAGAGCAGTGTATAAAGGTTCCAATTTCTTCACATCCTTGTCAACACTTGTTATTTCTGTCTTTTTAAAATTACAGCCATCTTAATGGGTGACATGCATCTCATTGTGGTTTTGCGTTCATTTATTCTTGTGTTTCTTCACTCCTCTAAAAAATAAGTGAGGTCGGGCGCAGTGGCTCACGCCTGTAATCCCAGCACTTTGGGAGGCTGAGGCAGGTGGATCACGAGGTCAGGAGTTCAAGACCAGCCTGATCAATATGTGAAACCCCATCTCTACTAAAAATACAGAAATTAGCCGGGTGTGGTGGTGCGTGCCTGTAGTCCCAGCTACTCGGCAGGCTGAAGCAGGAGAATCGCTTGAACCTGGGAGGCGGAGGTTGCAGTGAGCCAAGACTTTGGCACTGCACTCCAGCCTGGGCGACAGAGCAAGACTCTGTCTCAAAAATAAATAAATAAATAAATAATAAGTGAGCAGATAAATAGCATAATGGCATATTTGTGATAAGTGCTAGGAAATAAATAACTAGGGTACTATAATAGAGATTAATATGCTGGTCAAGGAAGCTAGGATGGTGACATTTAAGCTGAGGTCTCATGGATGAATGGAACCAGCCCTGAAAGCGCAAAGGAACAATGTTCTAGTCAGAGAAGAGCAAGCACAGAAGCCTTGAGGCGAGAAAGAGCTTAGCTAATTCTAAGAACTGTAAAAAGGCCAAGATGATTGATTACAAGCAGAAGAGTGGCATGAGATGAGGCTAGGGAGGCTGGCAGGAGAAAGGAGTTTAGATTTCACTCTAAAAGCAGTGGAAAACCACTGACAGTTTCTACACTGAGAGAGGAATAATGATGCTTGTGTTTTAAAGAATCACTTTAGCTGCTGCACTGTAAAACCAGTTAAGAAGTGATAGCTGTTTAGGTGAGATAATAGTAATTTCAATGAGAATAGTAGCCATAAAGATGAAGAGAAGTGCTCTCAAGTTCTATTTCAGAGACAGAACAAGCAAGATCGAAGGGGATTTAAGAGGTGAGTGAAAGGGAGGAGCCTGCAATGTAATTCAAATTTCTGGCTTTAACGACTAGGTGAAGGAGGATACTATTTACCAAGATACAGAACCAACAAATTAAGAATGAATTGGCTGCCAGCGCGGTGGCTCACGCCTGTAATCCCAGCACTGTGGGAGGCCGAGGTGGGTGGATCATGAGGTCAGGAGTTCAAGGCCAGCCTGGCCAAGATAGTGAAACTCTGTCTGTCCTAAAAATACAAAAAATTAGCCGAGCTCAGTGGCAGGCGCTTGTAATCCCAGCTAGTCGGGAGGCTGAGGCATGAGAATCACTTGAACTCAGTTGCAGTGAGCCGAGATCGCGCCACCGCACTCCAGCCTGGGCAACAGAGTGAGACTGTCTCAAAAAAAATAAAAGAATGAATTGGCCAATGGTATGGCCTACAAGTCCTTATGTATTGACTCAACAATATGCTTAAATAAATCCTGGAAGCTTTCAATTCGGTTTTTCTGAGTTATTGCCCTTTCATCTAAGTGTGCACAACATCAGGTTCCTGGCTGTAAATACAATGTTAATCAAATGGGGTTTATTTACCTTCAAACTACAGTTTGTTACATTATATTCTTCTTTCACTAGTATTAATTCAAAATTAAAGACATCTCCTTTCATTCACGTCGTGTCTCTTCCACCCACTCAGGATTCTGTCCATTTTTCTAGTACTTAGAAATATCATCATTTAGTTAAAACAAATAACATGAAATTTAAAACAATAAAATATGTGTCACCTGAAGGGGTGGGTTGCCCCTCCACACCTGTGGGTGTTTCTCGTTAGGTGGAACGAGAGACTTGGAAAAGAAAAAGACACAGAGACAAAGTATAGAGAAAGAAATAAGGGAGCCCAGGGGACCAGCGTTCAGCATACGGAGGATCCTGCCAGCCTCTGAGTTCCCTTAGTATTTATTGATCATTCTTAGGTGTTTCTCAGAGACGGGGATGTGGCAGGGTCATAGGATAATAGTGGAGAGAAGGTCAGCAGATAAACACGTGAACAAAGGTCTCTGCATCATAGACAAGGTAAAGAATTAAGTGCTGTGCTTTAGATATGCATACACATAAATATCTCAATGCCTTACAGAGCAGTATTGTTGCCCGCATGGCCCACCTCCAGCCCTAAGGCAGTTTTCCCCTATCTCAGTAGATGGAACATACAATCGGGTTTTATACCAAGACATTCCATTGCCCAGGGATGGGCAGGAGACAGATGCCTTCCTCTTGTCTCAACTGCAAAGAGGCATGCCTTCCTCTTATACTAATCCTCCTCAGCACAGACCCTTTACGGGTGTCGGGTTGGAGGACGGTCAGGTCTTTCCCTTCCTACGAGGCCATATTTCAGACTATCACATGGGGAGAAACCTTGGACAACACCTGGCTTTCCTAGGCAGAGGTACCTGCGGCCTTCCGCAGTGTTTGTGTCCCTGGGTACTTGAGATTAGGGAGTGGTGATGACTCTTAAGGAGCATGCCGCCTTCCAGCATCTGTTTAACAAAGCACATCTAGCACAGCCCTTAATCCATTTAACCGTGAGTTGACACAGCACATGTTTCAGAGAGTTCGGGTTTGGGGCTAAGGTTATAGATTAACAGCATCTCAAGGCAGAAGAATTTGTCTTAGTACAGAACAAAATGGAGTCTCCTATGTCTACTTCTTCCTACACAGACACAGTAACAATCTGATCTCTCTTTCTTTTCCCCACAATCACCCATCAAATTGGCATGTTTTAAAAAATGGTTATATTCGGGCTGGGTGCAGTGGCTCACGCCGGTAATCTCAGCATTTTGGGAGGCCAAGGCAGGCAGACCACAAGGTCAGGAGATCGAGACCATCCTGACTAACATGGTGAAACCCCGTCTCTGCTAAAAATACAAAAAATTACCCAGGCGTGGTGGCAGGCACCTGTAGTCCCAGCTACTCGGGAGGCTGAGGCAGGAGAATCGCTTGAACCCTGGAGGCGGAGGTTGCAGTGAGCCGAGATCGCGCCACTGCACTCCATCCTGTCGACAGAATGAGACTCCGTCTCAAAAATAAATAAATAAATAAATAAATATTAGCCAAACATGGTGGCAGGGGGCTTGTAGTCCCAGCTACTTAGATAGCTGAGTTGGGAGGACTGCCTGAGCCCAGGAGTGTGAGGTTACAAGGAGCTATTACTGCACCACTGCACTCCAGCCTGGGTAACGGAGCGACCTTGTCTCTAAAACAAACAAAACCACTACATTTACTCATCCTTTAAGTACCAACATGTTACCTCCTGTGAGAAAATTTTCCAGAAATACCATTTAACACACTAATAGACATGTCTCTCGATTGCTCTATTGCTGATCAATTGTGTATTTCTCCAAGTTGGCCTCCTAATATACCCCAACCCCTCTTTCTTCAAGTTGGAAGCCACATTTATGTAGCTTGAATATTAAAGTTACGTATGTAAACATTTAAAAGCAGGTGAGTTTGTTAACTTCGGCAAGCTTATCAGTAGACAGGGCCTTCCAGTGAAAAGAGCACTTGACTAGAAATTAGGAGATTTAGGTACTGTCCTAAATCTGTTTCTACCTTACTTTCTCTGGCCTCAGTTTTCTCCCTCATAAAGGAATGTATCTACAGCCCTAGTCTCTGGGTGGCGATTTACGGCTTCTCTGCCTTTTATCTTCATTCTCCGATCCATCCCTCTTCATCTTACAGGTGAGGAAACTGCCATCCAGACATTACATATAACTTAGTCAAGATCCTACACTATTAATTAATGGCTAATGGCAAGGGAATCTTGAGATCCTGTACGGCGGCTGACCCATAAAATCTACCTAGTTCTAAAATTCTTTAACCCACCCACTTAACAAAAACGGAGGTAATAGGTAAACAAAACGCCAGGAAAGATCGCACTTAAAGGAACAAAAGCACCCAAGGAGGAAAAAGAGGCCTGAGATTTCCACGAATTACAAGTGAACTTCCTGTCCTGGGTAAACTTCCGGAATCAACAACAGGAAGACCCAATCAGAATCTTCCTCCGGGAGCCAATGGGAGAGCACATTACAAAGAGCCAATCCCAGCGCCGCTGTCACTGTTATGGTCCTGTCAGGGTGCCGGCGTCGTGGTGCTTGGGTGGTCGCCACCAAGAAGACTTTGGTGGGGTAGTCTCGGGGCAGCTCAGCGGCCCGCTGTGCCCGTTTCTGGCCTCGCTCGCAGCTTGCACGTCGAGACTCGTAGGCCGCACCGTAGGGCGAGCGTGCGGGTCGCCGCCGCGGCCGCCTCGGGGTCTGGGCCCAGCCGCAGCCTCTTCTACCGCGGCCGGTTGGGAGTCGCCGCGAGATGCAGCCTCCGGGCCCGCCCCCGGCCTATGCCCCCACTAACGGGGACTTCACCTTTGTCTCCTCAGCAGACGCGGAAGGTGAGGCTGAGCCCCTGGAAGGGCTATCACCCGGAGGAAGCCAGGGCCCGACGCCGTAGGGTCTTTCTGGTGCCGAGGTGGTCGTGGCCGGGTGGGGACAGGCAGGAAGCTGACTGGTGACTGCAGCCCACCACGCCTGCCGGGCCTTCCGAGAGGCCCCGAAGGACGGAGGGAGGGGTGTAGGGAGCTGCTTTTTAAAGCATCAAGTTACTCGGTCAGCCCTTGGTTTTCCCCATACCGTCTGGTGGCTGGTTTTTCTGGGTGGCTTAGTCTCTTCAATTGGACCCACAAAATCCTAAGCTTTTAGTTCTGGAATTACTCGCCCTTACTCAGAAAAAGGACAGATTGGCCAAGGGAGATCTCAAAGAATGAGAAAAAGGAAGGAGGGCTGTTTTCTTCTGTTATGTATCAACAGATAATTTTTTGGGGGGGGTCTGGGATCAGATTCGGCACTGCAAATACAAACTAAATGGTTTTTATTGAATTTGATGTCTTGCCCGAGTCCCCGTTTTCCTCGCATTTTGTAATGTTTCACCTCAGTATTCAGAGAAATTGACGCAGGTATATTGGAAGTTTAGTGTAAACCAACAATGTGTTTCCAGTAGCCTCTACAGATTTCCTTGTATTATTCTGAGGAAGCGATTGTGCTGGAGATATTTTCCTACAGCACAGGAGAATGTTTCCCTCCTATTCTCAGTTCCCTATCCAACTCATAACCTGGATATTATTCTGCTAGTCATTTTCAATTTTTTTTTTTTTCTTGAGCTCTGTCGCCCAGGCTGGAGTGCAGTGGCGCGATCTCGGCTCACTGCAAGCTCCGCCTCCCGGGTTCACGCCATTCTCCTGCCTCAGCCTCCCGAGTAGCTGGGGCTACAGGCACCCGCCACCACCCCCGACTAATTTTTTTTGTATTTTTAGTAGAGATGAGGTTTCACCGTGTTAGCCATGATGGTCTCTCGATCTCCTGACCTCGTGATCCGCCCGCCTCGGCCTCCCAAAGTGCTGGGATTACCGGCGTGAGCCACCGCGCCCCGGCCATTTTCAAATTTTTATTACACTTCGTGCACCAGTTATTTTCCAGTGACCAGACTTACTGGCTGCTATGAAATCATAAATTATGTTTACAGAAATTTCAGTCTGAGAAAGAACCTAGATTTTCCTTTTTTTTTTTTTTTTTTTTTGAGACTGAGTCTCGCTCTGTCGCCCAGGCTGGAGTGCAGTGATGCCATCTCGGCTCACTGCGAGCTCTGCCTCCCGGGTTCACGCCATTCTCTGGCCTCAGCCTCCCGTGTAGCTGGGACTACAGGCGCCCGCCACCACGCCCGGCTAATTTTTTTTTTTTTTGTATTTTTTTTTAGTAGAGACGGGGTTTCATAGTGTTAGCCAGGATGGTCTCGATCTCCTGACCTCGTGATCCGTCCGCCTCGGCCTCCCAAAGTGCTGGGATTACAGGCGTGAGCCACCGCGCCCGGCCGAAAGAACCTAGATTTTCCTAAGAAATTTTATGGTGTATCAGTATAGCTTGTTTTCCCTTTTGTTTTTCTTGTTGTGCTGTTTGGCATTGTTTTTTAAAAATAGTACTGGTCATAATTTAAAATGTACAATAAAATTTTTGTCTATCAAAGGGAACATAGCTGAGACATTTATTTTTTTTTCTCTTATGTTCTTTTTTTTTTTTTTTGAGGTGTGGTCTCACTCGGTTGCCAGGCTGGAGTGCAGTGGTTTGATCATAGCTTACTATAACCTCAAATTCCTGGGCTCCAGTGATCCTCCCGCTTCAGTCTCCTGAGTAGCTGGAGACCGTCTGGTGGCTGGTTTTTCTGGGTGGCTTATTCTCTTCAAGTGGACCCATGAAACCCTAAGGTCTGTGCCACCGTGCCCAGCTAATATATATATATATATTTTTTTTTTGAGGCGGAGTCTCACTTTGTCACCCAGGCTGGAGTGCAGTGGTGCAGTCTTGGCTCACTGCAAGCTCCGCTTCCCAGGTTCATGCTATTCTCCTGCCTCAGCCTCCCGAGTAGCTGGAACTACAGGTGCCAGCCACCACACCCAGCTAATTTTTTTGTATTTTTTTAGTAGAGACGGGGTTTCACTGTGTTAGCCAGGATGGTCTTGATCTCCTGATCTTGTGATCCGCCCAGGCTAATTTTTTTTTTTTTTGAGACAGAGTCTTGCTCTGTCGCCCAGGCTGGAGTGCAGTGGCGCAGTCTCAGCTCACTGCAAGCTCCGCCTCCCGGGTTCACGCCATTCTCTGCCTCAGCCTCCCGAGTAGCTAGGACTACAGGCGCCCGGCACCACGCGCGGCTAATTTTTTTTTTGTATTTTTAGTAGAGACGGGGTTTCACTGTGTTAGCCAGGATGGTCTCGATCTCCTGACCTCGTGATCTGCCTGCCTCGGCCTCCCAAAGTGCTGGGATTACAGGCGTGAGCCACCGCGCCCGGCCTAATTTTTGAACATTTTGTAGATCTCACTAGGTTGCCTAGGCTTGTCTCAGATTCTTGGCCTCCCAAATTGCTGGGATTACAGATGTGAGCTACCAGCCAAGCCGTAAATTTCTTTTAAACTGAGATACAGCACCCCAAAATATTTCAATTTGTTTCATCTACATTTGGTAGCATGGTGCTTAGGGAGGAATATCAACTTTAATTTCCCAGGTTTAAAAAAATTGTTTAAGTGTCAGAACATGATGTTTGTTCAAACTCATGTTTCCATGTATTTGTTTATTTTTTTCATTCTCCCTTCCCTGAGGAATTACTTTTTTTAAATATGCCTAAGAAATCCGACAGAATAATGTAAGTAGATAACCCATTGATTCCACATACTAAGAAACCTGAAATAAGTAAAAATCCATGAAGTTTATTCAAACTTCTCTGTATTTCCTCAGGAGACATATAGGTCTGTATATCCACGGAGCTATATGTATATGCATAATATCCTCACACAATATTATATCGTACAGTTTAAATTTAGA
The DNA here is from genome assembly GCF_000001405.40 of Homo sapiens. Lineage (NCBI taxonomy): Eukaryota > Metazoa > Chordata > Mammalia > Primates > Hominidae > Homo > Homo sapiens. The sequence goes on from NC_000002.12 coordinate 32,281,210, forward strand.
GTATTTTAAGTATACTACTCATTTGATCTTTTTTTTTTTTTCCTTTTTTGAGACAGAGTTTCACTCCCCTTGCCTAGGGTGGAGTGCAGTGGCTTGATCTCAGCTCACTGCAATCTCCACCTCCTGGGATCAAGTGATTCTCCTGCCTCAGCCTCCTGAGTAACTGGGACTACAGGTGTACGCCACCATGCCTGGTTAATTTTTGTATTTTTTGTAGAGACAGGGTTTCGCCATGTTTCACAGGCTGGTCTTGAACTCCTGGGCTCAAGTGATCCACCCACCTTGGCCTCCCAAAGTACTGGGATTACAGGCATGAGCCACCACACCCAGCCTCATTTGTTCTTTATAAGACTCCCAGTGAGCTTTATTATTCCTGTATTCTATAAAGAAACTGAGGTGAGCTGGGTGTGGTGGCTTACACCTGTAATCCCAGCACTTTAGGCTGAGGTGGGCAGTTGGCTTAAGCTCGAGAGTTTGATACCAGCCTGGGCAACATGGCAAAACCCCATCTCTACAAAACATACAAAAAATTAGCCGGGCATGGTGGCACGCACCTGCAATCCCAATCCCAGCTACCTAGGAGGCTGAGGCAGGAGAATCACTTGAACCCAGAAGGCAGAGGTTGCAGTGAGCCAAGATCATGCCATCACACTTCAGCCTGGGTGACAGGGTGAGACTCTGTCTCAAAAAAAAAAAAAAAAAAAAAGGCAACCATGGTAGTGCACACCTGTGGTCCCAGCTACCATGGGGTCAGCTACTCTGAGTCTCACTTGAGACTGGGAGGTCTAGGCTGCAGTGAGCTGTGATTGTGCCAGTGTGCTCCAGCCTAGGCAACAAAGCAAGACCCTGGCTGAAAAAAAAAAAGGAAAAAAAGAAACTGAGGCTTAGAGAGGTTTAGCAATTTTCACATGCTAGATCTGGAATTAAGAGCTAGTCTACAGCCAGGTGTGATAGCATGCACCTGCGATCCCAGCTACTCAGGAGGCTGAAGCAAGATGATTGCTTGAGCCCAGGAGTCTGAGGCCACCCAGGGGAACGTAGTGACACCCCATCTCAAAAAAACAAAACCAAAGAGCTATTCTGCTATCTCCTCAAGTTTCTTTCTACTGTCTCTTTCTTACATTTTTCTAAATTGTGTATCTGAAGTATGGAAGAGTCCTGGATTTGCATCCTGGCTTTATCAATTACTCTCCATGTGATCTTGGGCAAGCTACTTACCTTTTTTGTTTTGTTTTGTTTTTGAGACGGAGTCTCGCCCTGTCGCCCAGGCTGGAGTGCAATGGCACCATCTTGGCTCACTGCAACCTCTGCCTCCCGGGTTCAAGCGATTCTTCTGCCTCAGCCTCCCAAGTAGCTGGGATTACAGGCTCGCGCCACCACACCCAGCTAATGTTTTGTATCGTTAGTAGACACGGGGTTTCACCACATTGGCCAAGCTGTTCTCGAACTCCTGACCTCGTGATCCACCCGCCTCAGCTTCCCAAAGTGCTGGGATTACAGGTGTGAGCCACTGTGCCCCGCCAACTTACCCTTTCTTAACCTCATTTTCCTCATATACAAATTGGGAATAAGAATACCCAAGTGCAGGCCAGGTGGGTGGCTCACGCCTGTAATCCCAGAACTTTGGGAGGCCGAGGTGGGCGGATCACGAGGTCAGGAGATCAAGACCATCCTGGCTAACAAGGTGAAACCCAGTCTCTACTAAAAATACAAAAAAATTAGCCGGGGGTGGTGGCGGGTGCCTGTAGTCCCAGCTACTCTGGAGGCTGAGGCAGGAGAATGGCGTGAACCTGGGAGGTGGGGCTTGCAGTGAGCCAAGATCGCGCCACTGCACTCCCGCCTGGGCGACAGAGTGAGACTGTCTCAAAAAAAAAAAAAAAAAAGGAATACCCAAGTGCTCAAATACTTTGTAAATGTAAAACATTTACTACTATATCTGGCAGAGTTAAGTGTTCAACATATGTGAGTAATGATGTTGCTGCTTGGGTTTCAGTGTTAACTGACCCCACACTTTTTTTTTATTGTTTTCCAACATGAACATTTTACTGTACAACTCCGGGTCTTTTCCCTGGTTTCTACACGTCATATAAATTCTTGCTTCTCCCCTTTTTATAGTGTTTTTTAACCATGAATATTTTCAACTTACAGATGTTTTCAGTGTATAACCTTCCTTCTAGATTCTGTCCAAATCCCTCATTCTTAATGATAGCTATCCTTACTATTTCTCCACACATACCCTTTATTCTAAAATGTGCTTTGGTGTTTTGTCTCCATGTGGATGCAGATTCTGATCATCATGCTTAGAATGTCTTTCTCCTCCTCGCCTTAAGTTAAAACCTAAGACTGAACTCAAATGCTCTTTCCTTGGTAAAACTTGCTTTAACTGTCCCTCAGAAACGGAAACTTCCTAATATTTTCTATACCCCAGTACCTATCATAGAACCCATGGTATAAATATCACAAAAGAATTATTTGTTGAATAAATTATTTTTGCTTTCATTTATCTCATGTCTTTTTTTTTTTTTGAGACAAGAGTCTCGCTGTGTTGCCCGGGCTGGAGTGCAATGGCGCAATCTTGGCTCATTGCAACCTCTGCCTCCCAGGTTCAAGCAATTCTCCTGCCTCAGCCTCCCAAGTAGCTGGGATTACAGGTGCCTGCCACCATGCTCGGCTAATTTTTGTATTTTTTTAATAGAGACGGGGTTTTACCACGTTGGTCAGGCTGGTCTCAAACTCCTGACCTCAAGTGATCCGCCCACCTCTGCCTCCCAAAGTGCTGGGATTGATTACAGGCATGAGTCACCACGCCAGGCCTAATATCACTTCTTAATTTAAGCTTTATGGTATTGTTTGCCCTTCCATCAATTAATTCATTCAATAAGCATGCACATTTGTTGATTGCCTACTATGGATCAGGCACTATTATAAGTACTGGGGATATATGTACCAAGACAAATGCCACCAAAAATCCCAAATAGTCTCTCCTTTCATAGATTTTATAAACAACCAAGTAATTACACAAATATATAATTATATATAGTGATAAATATCGTGAAGGAAAAGTGGAGGGAACTGTGAAAGGAACTTACATAGTCTAGTCTGCAGGATCAAGGAAAATTTGCTTAAGCGAGTGTAATGGTTTGGATTTGTGTCCCTGCCCAAATCTCATGTTGAATTGTAATCTTCAGTGTTGGAGGAGAGGCCTGGTGGGAGGTGACTGGATCATGGGGGTGGACTTCCCTCTTGCTGTTCTTGTCATAGTGAGTTCTCACAAGGTCTGGTTTTTTAAAAGGGTGTAGCACCTCCACTGTCTGTCTCTCCCTCCTCTGGCCATGTAAAACTGCCTGCTTCCCCTTTGCAATCTGCCGTGATTGTAAGTTTCCTAAGGCATACCCAGCCATGCTTCCTGTAGAGCCTGTGGAACTGTGAGTCAAACCTCTTTTGTTTATAAATTACTCAGTCTCAGGTAGTTCTTTAGAGCAATGCAAGAATGGACTAATACAGCAAGTATATCTGAGAACTGAAGAATGGATGGCATTTAATTATCTGAAGTTGGAGGAAACAGCCTGGCACAAGGTCCCTGAGACAAACAGAATCCAGGTTCATTCAGAGAAATGAGAGGCTTAGTGTGGCTAGGGTATAGAGTCCAGATTGAGAGGAGAGCAGGTAAGTGGGCCTGGATAAGATAGGGCATGTAGAGATTATTGGACTTGAGCTAGAAAAGCAACTGGGGGAGGGAGATGAAGGATTCTAAACAAAAGAGTGAAATATTTGCATCTTAGAAAGAGTCTCCGGGGTACAGTGAAGAGTATGGATTGGAAGGAGACAAGAATGACTGGGGGGAGGGCAGTTTGTACACCATTATAATCATGCAGACAGGAGTTGATGGTTTGCATGAGCTTGCTACTGGTGGTAGAAATGGTAAGTGGACAGACATTTAAAAATATTTAGAGGTAAAACTGACAATTTAGTGGTGGTTTGGATGGAGAGGAAGCATGCAAATAAAGCAAACTGTCAAGGATAAGCTTCTAGCTTACAATGCTGGATAGATTAGTAGTATCATTTAATGAAAAAAATGGAGGAAGACCTGAGATATATCAGTTTTGGAATATTGAATTTTAGATGCCTTTGAGATAGATGCAAGGAAATGTTGACAATAGGTTATATAAATCTAGTGAAGAGGACTGGACTCAATATATTGCATTTCAACCTTGGCCTTCTTCAGTCTTTTTATCCCTATATAAAAATTATAATACCTGCAGCTCACAATACAGTGATCAGTAAATTGTAGATAATTACTATCAGTGTTCTTTTGAGTGATACTTTTCTGTCACTCTGTTATTGTGACCATTTCAGCCTATTCTTTGTTTGAAATTCCCCCTTCCCAGAAAGGATGTCACCTCTAATACAAGTTAGTAATGTAGACAGAGGAATCTTTAGTTTTTCCTTTTTTTTTTTTTTTTGGAGACGGAGTCTTGCTGTGTCACCCAGGCTAGAGTGCAGTGGTGCGATCTCAGCTCATTGCAACCTCCACCTCCCAGGCTCAAGCAATTCTCCTGCCTCAGCCTCCCAAGTAGCTGGGATTACAGGTGCTCGCCACCGCACCCGGCTAATTTTTGTATTTTTGGTAGAGATGGGGTTTCACTGTCTTGGCCAGGTTGGTCTCGAAGTCTATGATTCCTACTTATGAAAAATAATATCCATATAGGTCTAGTCTTATCACAAATGTTTTCTATACAATATGCTGGTGAAGTATGATATATAGTATGTAATGGGTGCAAGAATAACTTTTATTTCCTTTTTGAAAACTGAAAATGACATTTTAGCCAACCTTTCTTAGGGGAGTTAAACAAGGTTTACTTTTTTCATTAATTAATCTACTTATTTGCATGAGTTTTAAAACTCATAAGGCATTACACAAATCTACAAATGTGATTAAATTGCATAGAACTATAAACACATATACACACACACAAATGAGTGCATGTCAAACTGGTGAAATCTGAATAAGGTCTGTGGATTGTACCAGTGTCAGTGTCCTGAATTTGATAGTTATGTGAGTTTGTACTATTGGGAAAAACTGGGTAAAGGGTACATAAGACCTCTCTTTTCCATTTTTGTAACTTTCTATGAATCTATAATTTTTCAAAATAAAAATTTAAAGACATAAGACAAAAGAAATTTCATCTTTTTGTTTATCAGATAAATTACAGAATTTAATTATTTACAGTATGAAAATTTACCTATAATATTTGATAGAAAAACTACTAAAACCATAAACCAGAACAACATGATTAAAAATATAACCTAAGACAAAAATTTATACAAGACTTTGAAAAAAACATTTTTTTTTTTGAGATGGAGTTGCGCTCTGTTGGCAGGCTGGAGTGCAGTGGCGCGATCTCAGCTCAGTGCAACCTCCACCTCCCGGGCTCAAGTGATTCTCCTGCCTCAGCCTCCCGAGTAGCTGGGACTACAGGCGCACGCCACCACACCCAGCTAATTTTTGCATTTTTAGTAGAGACAGGGTTTTACCACGTTGGCCAGGATTGTCTCGATCTCTTGACCTCGTGATCTGCCCACCTCGACTGGGATTACAGACCTGAGCCACCCCACCCTGCTGAAAAAAACATTTTCTTACAGAGTAACGTGATCAAGCTCCAGTATAGGTCTAGCAGTTACAAGATTATGCACATGCATTAGTTTCTTGATCTCTTTCATAGGCCTATGTATACATTAAAATGGTATCCTTAGGCCAGGCACAGTGGCTCGTGTCTTTAATCCCAGCACTTTGGGAGGCCAAGGCAGGTGTATTACATGAGGCCAGGAGTTCAGGACCAGACTGGCCAACATGTTGAAACCCCATCTCTACTAAAAATACAAAACTTAGCTGGGCATGGTGGTGCATGCCTGTAATCCCAGCTACTCGAGAGGCTGAGGTAGTTGAATCGCTTGAACCTGGGAGGTGGAGATTGCAGTGAGTTGTGATCATGGCACTGCACTCCAGCCTGGACAAGAGAGTCTGTCTCTAAAATAAATAAAATGGTATCCTTATAACTCAAATGAAATAATGAAATTTATTAATATCTTTTAGTGCAAAAACATATGCTTGTTTTTGTTTCTGTGGCACATATACACAACTCTGGGTCATACTGAAGCACACATAGACTTCATTTTCAAGTCTGAGATGAGATGAAACGAGATGATTTTTGTCCTTGCTCTTGTTGCTTATTAAATAAGGAAAAGCTTCTTTACGTATATAAGAATGTGTCAAGTGCCACAAAATGTTCATTGTTTATTGCAGGATACTCTTCTTTCACAGAAATCGGGAACTTGTCTAGGGGCAGATCAGTAGTAAATTTCATCTTCAGTGTACTATCACACTGCACTGTGAGAATTTTTCACATTCTCAGGCTGAGCAGAAGATTCAGAGAAAGGACCCCATACCCAGTCATACATTTGAGTTGAAAGGGAAGAAAAATTCCTGTTAAATTTTGTTGTGTGGGTTTTCCAAAGGTGGCTTTCAGTAAGACTTGAAATTTACTGATACTCTTCACTCTGAGCCAAAACAGCTGTAGAAACATTTTTAAAATTTCCTTTTACAATAGATTTTTTAAAAGATTGTATCTTTTTAAATCCACTTTTATATTTATTATCCTTTACATTGTTTTTACTTAGGAAATGACAAGAATATTTTATATATAGTATAGTAAGGAAGAATTAACCTAAAATTCATGTTTTACTATCTGGACGTCTATCCAAGAGCTGACAACCAAGCTAGCTTGTTCTTACTCTGGTTTAAATTAAATCAGCCATGCTCCTGGAGTAATTTTTAATTGTTTTTCTTGCTCTCTGACATCATTCTCCACTTGTTAACTTGATAACATGTTAAACTACTACTAATTTTTTGGACTTTCCTGTTCTTTCTCACTGACAGTTATGTCTTGGGGGTCCTGGGGGAGGTGTCAAACTGCTATTGTTGGCATTCCTACATATGTCCTTGATATTTTTTCTACTTTACATGGAACAGAAAGTACTAGAAAATTTGTAAGCTGAAGATGCCTTTTTGAGGTTCTTGCATCTGCGCTATGACAAACTGCTAAACATGTACAGTTCTTGAGCACAACATTCCTTAGCACTATAATTTATATATCCTTTTTTGGTTTAGATTAAGGACTTTAAGTACAGTCCTTTCTAGAAACCAGGAAACAGTTGTTAAGGTCCTTTCCAGCCTCATAACTGCAAAACCTCTAATGTCACTGCTGTACTAATGATTTCTGGATGTAAATCTTCTTCTTGTTAAGAAAAAACACTCTTGGCCTGGCGCGGTGGCTCACACCTGTAATCCCAGCACTTGGGGAAGGCCAGGGTGGGCAGATTATCTGAGGTCAGGAGTTCGAGACCAGCCTGGCCAACATGGCAAAACCCCATCTCTACTAAAAATACAAAAATTAGCCAGGCATGCTGGTACACGCCAGTAATCTCAGCTACTCAGGAGGCCGAGGCAGGAGAATTACTTGAACCCAGGAGGTGGAGGTTGCAGTGAGCCGAGATTGCCCCACTGCACTCCAGCCTGGGAGACAGAGCAATAAATAAATAAATAAATAAAAATTAGCCGGGCATGGTTGTGTGCACCTGTAATCCCAACTCAGGAGGCTGGGGCAGGAGAATGGCTTGAACCTAGGAGACAGAGGTTGCGGTGAGCCGAGATGACACCACTGCACTCCAGCCTGACAACAGAGTGAGGCTCTGATACAAAAAAAAGAAGAAATAACACTCTTTGTATCTATTAGAAATAGACTTTTAAATTCCACCTCTCTCATTTCAACTTAGACAAAGAAGTAGCAAGCACTTATAAGAGAGTATTTTCACTATGCAATTATATGATAACATGTACAGGGATTATTTTTGAACTTTAAGTGGTGAATTCAAATCTGGTTATATTTTATCTCTGAGTGAGCGCCTTTATAAAAACTTTTTAGAATTATATAATGTTTAACCTGGAAAGAACTTTGAATAGGAAACTAGGGCCCGGAAAACATGAATGATTTGCTGTATCAGTTAGTAGCTAAGCTGGGACTTAGCTTCAGAATGTAAACATTTGTCAAACTTAATTGCAGGAGTTGTCATAAGCCGACCAGGATGTGACTCATAGAGTATTGTGCAAATTAAGCTCTTTGTACTGTATATGAAAAATGGTTTTTTGTTTTTTAAGGAAGCTAACTTTGGTATTGGTTGGACATGATCTCCAGAGAGGTATCTATCTGTGTTAGAGTGTTCTGGTTTGGTGTTTCCAAAAGTATTTTTCTGAAATAATACTATAATCATGTGACTTGCACTGACAGTATTGATGGTTGTTTATTAATGTATATTATCTGGTCCTACAAATGTGCTTTTTCTTTTTAATCCCTATGTGACCTCAGGCAAATCCTTAACTATTTCCATTTTTTAACTAGCAAAGATGGCATTAGTACTACCATGATTATCTGTAACCCCTGAGATACTGTGCAGACTCTACATGGAATTTATTTTTTAATGTGGATAACTGAATCTCTTCACCTCTTGTTAGAGCCGACCTAAAAAATAAAAACAAAAAGAAAACATAGCCTTTATTTATTTTTGCCAAAACTGAAGATGAATGATGTAATTATGTGAAGAAAAGGGAAGTTTTGGCTGAAATAACAGGGGACTCTTACTCATCAGACTTATCAAGAATTAAGCATTAATATATGAAACACTTAGCATAGATATGTGATGATTTAAATGAAAGAATATATGAATAAATAAATACATGAAAAGGTAGAGAAAAATTATCTACGAATTTCCTTTAGTAAATAAATTGTCTAATAGTTTGTATATATACATATGTAATGCCTCTGAAAAGAATTTATTCAGTTACTTTGTTCTGAGGCACATGATATGTGTAAGAATGAAGGAATCCAAAATGATGTCATGTAATGTATTTTGCATATATTTTCCATGGAAATTTTAAGGAATTACTGTTGTTAAGTCTAGATTCTGGTACCAGTCTGGCTAATTAGCTGTGAAACCTTTTGTACGTTTTTTCACTTCTTTCATCTTTCATTTTATTCTTATAAAATAAATGATGGTTTTTAGATGTCTGTCAACTATAAAATTTGAAGATTATATGCAATAGCAGATGTTCTTAGAGATCTTCAAATGATAATTATTTTAGTTGAATATCTGCTCACTTTGGTTAAGATTCACATGTTGTGCCTTAGTTTATATAGTTTTATCCTCTTTTCTCCTAAGATCTCAGTGGTTCAATAGCATCCCCAGATGTCAAATTAAATCTTGGTGGAGATTTTATCAAAGAATCTACAGCTACTACATTTCTGAGACAAAGAGGTTATGGCTGGCTTCTGGAAGTTGAAGATGATGATCCTGAAGATAACAAGCCACTCTTGTATGTAAAAATAATAATATATATTTTTTGTTTTTTGAGCTAGTCTGTGGGATGATTATATTCTTCTTGTTATTTAGAGAGAAAGCATTAACCTTTTTTGGTCAAAAGCTATAGTGATTGTCAATTTTACTAGTAATTTAAAAAACTGAAATAATAATGAGAGAATATTTTTTAACCAATTAAAAGACAAAAATTAAAAGAATGGTAATCCTGTATCTCACACACATGTGTGTCTACTCCAGCTTACCTGGGTCTGTCAGCTATCTGAAGTAATCATGCAATTTAAAAAAGCAGGGCTCTTAGGTACTAGCTGTTGAAATTAAGGTTCGGACAAATTAAGATTTCCAAGAAGATTACCACTCCAAAATCTCTTCAACATAGAAATTCTAGAGCTGCCACTGGGAGGAGAGCTACATATAAAGAGGCTTTCACTTTCTTTATAGTACTTGAAATTTTGTGGTTATCTGGAGAAAAAAGTAAAGAAATAAATAATTTTGAAAAGAAGAACCTATAGCTTTGTAAAATTGAGGCATTTCCAGATTCTTCTTTGTATTAATTATCAGTAGAGTAAGTGCTGAAACATCCTGTGTTTCTTCATGTTAATACACCATATATCGGCCAGGCATAGTGGCCCACGCCAGTAATCCCGGCACTTTGGGAGGCCGAGGTGGGCGAATCACTTGAGATTAGAAGTTCAAGATGAGCCTGGCCAACATGGCGAAACCCCATCTCTACTAAAAATACAAAAAAAGAAAAAATTAGCCGGGCGTGGTGTCAGGGGCCTGTAGTCCCAGCTGCTCGGGTGGCTGAGGCATGAGAATCGCTTGAACCCAGGAGACGGAGGTTGCAGTGAGCCGAAATTGCCCCACCGCACTCCAGCCTGGGTGAAAAAGCAAGACTCTTGTCTCAAAAACAAAGAAACAAACCGTATACCATCAAATCTAAGACACTATTGATTATAAGATGAAGTTATTTTACATATTAATTAAACAGAAAAGTGCGTAAGACGGCATAAAGCTGGGACATCAAAGGGCTATCTCCTTATTAGTGTAAGGATGAATGAGAAATAACCCACAACACAAAGACAGCAAGGAAGTTTGCTTCAGTTTGACAGTGGATAAGATGTTGAAAGAAAGAATTTCCCCAGAGAATATAAAACCTACACTGGTTCTCATATGGGTTTGCAATCTGAATTAGGCCCAAAAAGTCACAAGCAGAAAATTTTACTTAAAGTTTTCTTAAATTGATAGGGCTTCCAGGAGACTGGCAAAAGGAAAGGTAAATATTAGAAACACTTGGCGTCACTCCAGGCTGACGATTGTAAGACTCCAGTGATAGAGATATGTCCCACATTTAGAGATATTGGAATGTTAAAAATGTACAGCTTGGAATTAGTGAAATGTGGCACTTCAAATGCAAATGTTTTGTTGACCTATGGAGATTATAACTGTCTTATTTAAAGTTTTCTTAATTTTTTTTTGGAATTGTTTTAGTATTCAGAAATGTGTGCCTTTTGAGAATTTTTATTTTAAAATTATAGGGAAGAATTGGACATTGATCTAAAGGATATTTACTACAAAATCCGATGTGTTTTGATGCCAATGCCATCACTTGGTTTTAATAGACAAGTGGTGAGAGACAATCCTGACTTTTGGGGTCCTCTGGCTGTTGTTCTTTTCTTTTCCATGATATCATTATATGGACAGTTTAGGGTAAGTATATCTTATTTTATACAAATTCTAAATATTTTGAGAGTTTCAAAAATTAAATATAATAAGATATTAACTGTAATATACCATATTATGTTTGAGAAATGCTTTACCCATTATTTCTCACTTGTTCATCCCTAAAACCGTTCCATAATTAAATAAGTGAGGAGTACCTTAGATTAATGCTTTCAAACTTTTCCACATCATGATTCACATAGAAAGTATTAGTATTTGTGGGCGGGTGTGGTGGCTCACGCCTGTAATCCCAGCACTTTGGGAGGCCGAGGTGGGTGGATCACGGGGTCAGGAGATTGAGACCATCCTGGCCAACATGGTGGAAGCCCTGTCTCTACTAAAACTACAAAAAAAGTATCTGGGTGTGGTGGTGCACGCCTGTAATCCCAGCTACTCGGGAAGCTGAGGCAGGAGAATCACTTGAACCCGGGAGGCCGAGGTTGCAGTGAGCCAAGATCACGCCACTGCACTCCAGCCTGGCGACAGAGTGAGACTCCATCTCAAAAAAAAAAAAAAAAAAAAAGAAAATATTAGTATTTGTATGGCACACTGGGGTAAATGAATAGAACCACTTCCAGCTGACCAGAAGTCACTAGAAGGTGCACCTTCTGATTTTCCCAAGAGATGAACAGTTTGAAATGTAATACTCATATTCATATTTCTTACCTTTTTTTTGATTATTTTTATTTTTATTTTTATTTTTTTATTTTTATTTATTTATTTATTTATTTTTATTGATCATTCTTGGGTGTTTCTCGCAGAGGGGGATTTGGCAGGGTCATAGGACAATAGTGGAGGGAAGGTCAGCAGATAAACAAGTGAACAAAGAAACAAGTGAACAAAGGTCTCTGGTTTTCCTAGGCAGAGGACCCTGCGGCCTTCTGCAGTGTTTGTGTCCCTGGGTACTTGAGATTAGGGAGTGGTGATGACTCTTAACGAGCATGCTGCCTTCAAGCATCTGTTTAACAAAGCACATCTTGCACCGCCCTTAACCCATTTAACCCTGAGTGGACACAGCACATGTTTCAGAGAGCACAGGTTTGGGGGTAAGGTCCCAGATCAACAGGATCCCAAGGCAGAAGAATTTTTCTTAGTACAGAACAAAATGAAGTGTCTCCCATGTCTACTTCTTTCCACACAGACACGGCAACCATCCGATTTCTCAATCTTTTCCCCACCTTTCCCCCCTTTCTGTTCCACAAAACCGCCATTGTCATCGTGGCCCGTTCTCAATGAGCTGTTGGGTACACCTCCCAGACGGGGTGGTGGCCAGGCAGAGGGGCTCCTCACTTCCCAGTAGGGGAGGCCGGGCAGAGGCACCCCTCACCTCCCGGAAGGGGCGGCTGGCCGGGCGGGGGGCTGACCCCCCAACCTCCCGGACGGGGCGGCTGGCCGGGCAGAGGGGCTCCTCACTTCCCAGTAGGGGCGGCTGGGCAGAGGCGCCCCTCACCTCCCGGACGGGGCGGCTGGCCAGGCGGGGGGCTGACCCCCCCACCTCCCTCCCGGACGGGGCGGCTGGCCGGGCGGGGGGCTGACCCCCCCCACCTCCCTCCCGGACGGGGCGGCTGGCCGGGCGGGGGGCTGACCCCCCCAACCTCCCTCCCGGACGGGGCGGCTGGCTGGGCAGGGGGCTGATCCCCCCACCTCCCTCCCGGACAGGGCGGCTGGCCGGGCAGAGGGGCTCCTCACTTCCCAGTAGGGGCGGCTGGGCAGAGGCGCCCCTCACCTCCCGGACAGGGTGGCTGGCCAGGCGGGACGCTGACCCCCCCACTTCCCTCCCAGACGGGTCGGCTGGCCTGGCAGGGGCTGACCCCCACCTCCCTCCCGGACGGGGTGGCTGCCAGGCAGAGACACTCCTCACTTCCCAGACGGGGTGGCTGCTGGGCGGAGGGGCTCCTCACTTCTCAGACGGGGCGGCTGCCGGGTGGAGGGGCTCCTCACTTCTCAGACGGGGCGGCTGCCGGGCGGACGGGCTCCTCACTTCTCAGACAGGGCGGCTGGGCAGAGATGCTCCTCACCTCCCAGACGTGGTCGCGGCCGAGCAGAGGCGCTCCTCACATCCCAGACGGGGCGGCGGGGCAAAGGCGCTCCCCACATCTCAGACGATGGGCGGCCGGGCAGAGACGCTCCTCGCTTCCTAGATGGGATGGCGGCCGGGAAGAGGGGCTCCTCACTTCCTAGATGGGATGGCGGCCGGGCAGAGACGCTCCTCACTTTCCAGACTGGGCAGCCAGGCAGAGGGGCTCCTCACATCCCAGACGATGGGCGGCCAGGCAGAGACGCTCCTCACTTCCCAGACGGGGTGGCGGCCGGGCAGAGGCTGCATTCTCGGCACTTTGGGAGGCCAAGGCAGGCGGCTGGGAGGTGGAGGTTGTAGCGAGCCGAGATCACGCCACTGCACTCCAGCCTGGGCACCATTGAGCACTGAGTGAACCAGACACCGTCTGCAATCCCGGCACCTCCGGAGGCCGAGGCTGGCGGATCACTCGTGGTTAGGAGCTGGAGACCAGCCCGGCCAACACAGCGAAACCCCGTCTCCACCAAAAAAATACAAAAACCAGTCAGGCGTGGCGGCGTGCGCCTGCAATGGCAGGCACTCGGCAGGCTGAGGCAGGAGAATCAGGCAGGGAGGTTGCAGTGAGCCGAGATGGCAGCAGTACAGTCCAGCTTCGGCTCGGCATCAGAGGGAGAGGGGGAGGGGGAGGGGGAGGGCCATATTTCTTACCTTTTATTGACTCATAATTCTGTTCTTAAAATGACCGTTACTTTAAAAGAATGATGAGAAGGATTCCATCAGTATTTGTTTTTATATTACTACTGGTATTTTAATCCCTTTGTCCTACTTTCAGATACTTTATCACCAAAACACAACATATATACATCACTCTCTCATGCCAAATTTAAGGCTTTGAAGGAGTAAAAAGTTACTGTTTACCACAGGGATTTGGAAATGAATGAGTTTCTGGTGGCTGCTCTAATAAACTGCTACAAGCTTAGTGGTTTTAAATAATACAGATTTATTATTTTACGGTTCTGGATGTCAGGAGTCCAAAATGAGTCTTAAAGGACTAAGATCAAAATGTCTACAGGGCTGGTTCCTGTGGAAGCTCCAGGGCAGAATCTGTTGCTTGTTTCTTTCACTTCCAGAGGCTGCCAGCATTCCTTGGCTTCTGGCTGCGTCACTATGATCTCTGTTTCCATGATCACATTACCTTCCCCTCTAATGTACTTAAATCTCCTTCAGTTTCCATCTTTTTTTTTAGACGGAGTTTCACTCTTGCTGCCCAGGCTAGAGTGCAATGGCACGATCTCAGCTCACTGCACTTTCTGCCTCCCGGGTTCAAGTGATTCTTCTGCCTCAGCCTCCTACATAGCTGGGATTACAGACATGCCCCACCACCCCCAGCTAATTTTGTATTTTTAGTAGAGAGGGGGTTTCACCATGTTAGTCAGGCTGGTCTCAAACTCCTGATCTCAGGTGATCCACCTACCTTGGCCTCCCAAAGTGCTGGGATTACAGGTGTGAACCACTGTGCCCAGCCTCAGTTTTCATCTTTTAAGGACAATTGTTACTACATTTAGGGCCCAGCAAGGTAATCCAGAATAATCTCTCCATCACAAGATACTTGATGCATTACTATACTAGTCCTATTAATATTTACACTAGATTAGTAGTTTATATCAGATGTTATGTTAAAGTGTTGCAAAGACCACTGAAGAAGGTGAATGGGGACTCTGGTCTCCTACCTACCACTGGTTCTTCATCTAGAACATCTCTAATTGTATCTGTTTTGTATAATCTTTCATTTGAACAAAGGGTTCTAAGGTTAAAAACAGAAGATTACGGCTGGGCGCAGTGGCTCATGCCTACAGACCGAGGCGGGTGGATCATGATGAGGTCAGGAGTTCAAGACCAGCCTGGCCAACATGGTGAAACCCCATCTCTCCTAAAAATACAAAAATTAGCTGAGCGTGGTAGCAGGTGCCTGTAATCCCAGCTACTCAGGAGGCTGAGGCAGAGAATTGCTTGAACCCGGGAGGTGGAGATTGCATTGAGCCGAGATCACGCCACTGCACTCCAGCCTGGGTGACAGAGCAAGACTCAGTCTCAAAAAAAAAAAAAAGGAAAAAAAACCCCAGAAGATTACTATACCATCATAGAACGTCACTCATTTTGGATTTCCTTGATGTTTTCTCATGATTTGATTTGGATTATGCATTTTTGGCAAGAATATCACAGAAGTGACATTGTCCTGCTCTCTGTATACTAACAGGGAGTATGTGATACTGATACGTCTTATAACTGGTGATGTTAACCTTGATCACTTGGTTAGGTGATAGGGTAGTATCTGTTCAATTTCTCCAGTATAAAGTTACTATTTTTCTCTTTGTAATTAATAAATAGCTTATGGAGGTACTTTGCAACTATGCAAATATCCTGTTTCTCATCTAACTTTAGCCTACTAATTTTAGCATCCATTGGTAGATCTTGCATGCAGTAATTATTACTATAATGTTTACAGAATGATGATTTTTCTGTTTCCCTCAATCATTTTATTTGAGTTATAATCCAGTACTGTCATAATTTATTTCATCGCTCAGATTTTTCAAGCTTTAACCATTGGGAGCTCCTTCAGCTTGCATTCTGTCTCGTTTCAACATATCCCATTCTTTTTTTGAGTACTTCCTTTCCTTCTTACTTCACACAGTGTTCTGGGCTAATCTTGTATTTTGCCTGCCCCAGCCTTGGAATCAACCGTTTTTTTGTTTTTTTTTTTCTTGAAATGGTGTTTCACTCTTGTCGCTCAGGCTGGAGTGCAATGGCGCAATCTTGGCTCACCGCAACCTCTGCCTCCCAGGTTCAAGCGATTCTCCAGCCTCAGCCTCCGGAATAGCTGGGATTACAGGCATGTGCCACCATGCCCGGCTAATTTTGTATTTTTTTTTACAGGGTTTCTCCATGTTGGTCAGGCTGGTCTTGAACTCCCGACCTCAGGTTATCTGCCTGCCTCAGCCTCCCAAAGTGCTGGAATGACAGGCGTGAGCCACTGTGCCTGGCCAACCATTTCTTTAAGAAGTCCTACTTCCTTTAATTAGGAAATGATACTTAGAAACCAGTTTCTGGGGTTGGTCATGGTGGCTCACTCCTGTAATCCCAGCACTTTGGGAGGCTGAGGTAGGAGGATCACTTGAGCTCAGGAGTTCGAGACCAGCCTGGGCAACATAGTGAGACCTGGTCTCTATTAAATAAATAAGTACATGACCAAATAACATAGCAAGACCTCGTCTCTATTAAATAAATACATAAATAAAATAATAAATAATAAAAGAAACCAGTATCTGGGTGATAAATGTGCTTATGTTGCTACTGGGGTATTATTTCTAGACCATTCCAGCAGACAGCTTCAAAATACAAATATATGTATGTATTGTTACACCAAGTTTGAGGAGTTTAAAATTGTCTGAAATGGCTTCCATATTCCATTACTTGAATAAATATGTAATCTAAATTTTAAAGACTTCCAGAGAAGATTGGTAACTTGCTTCAGAAATAAATTTTTCTTCTGGGATGCTGTAAGACAGGGGGTTGATAGTAAACACTTTTTTTTTGCAATAATCTTTTATCATAGATTTTGAAATACTGAGGTTTCTTTAGGCAATTGATAATTGCTAAGATTTTAATTTGGATGTAAAATTGTATTACACATTGTATTCTTATTAAGTTTTGGAGTAATACCTGAGAGCCCACATAATCTCTCTATGACCTGAAATTGGGCATGCTAAACTGTCATTTATGGCAGAGAATCGAGTTCCTGGAAAATTATCATCTTATTTGGTATAAAAATATTAATTGCATGATTTTTCCCCCTAAGGTGGTCTCATGGATTATAACCATTTGGATATTTGGTTCACTAACAATTTTCTTACTGGCCAGAGTTCTTGGTGGAGAAGTAAGTAGTTTATTTTGAAAATAATCTTCCTTATTTATGGTGAGCTTAGTTTTTGATACTGCAGATATCATCATTAGCTATACAAGAAACTTTCTTGTCCCAGAATTGCTTTATGCTAGTTCCTTTAAGATGATCAACATATTAGTATTGTGCTTACTCAATAAATAGTACAAGAAATGAGGAAAAAGAAAATATCCCGTCCCATTTATGAAGTAATTGCAGCCTTTTAGGGAAGCATATAATTTATTTATTTTTTATTTATTTATTTGAAATGGAATCTTGCTTTGTCATCCTGCTGCAGTGCAGTGGGGCAATCTCGGCTCATTGCAGCCTCCGCCTCCCAGGTTCCCGATTGTCCTGCCTCAGCCTTCCGAGTAGCTGGGATTATAGATATGTGCCACTATGCCCGGCTAATTTTTGAATTTTTAGTAGAGACAGGGTTTCACCATGTTGGCCAGGCTGGTCTTGAACTCCCAACCTCAAGCGATCTGCCTGTTTAGCCTCCCAAAGTGCTGGGATTACAGGAGTGAGCTACTGCGCCCAGACAAAATTTATTTATTTATTTATTATTATTATTTTTTTTTGAGATGGAGTCTCGCTCTGTCACCCAGGCTGGAGTACAGTGGCACAATCTCGGCTCACTGCTACCTCCACCTCCTGGGTTCAAGCGATTCTCCTGCCTTAGCCTCCCGAGTAGCTAGGATTACAAGCACCTGCCACCCTGCCCAACTAATTTTTGTATTTTTAGTAGAGATGGAGTTTCACCATGTTGGTCAAGCTGGTCTCAAACTCCCGATCTCAAGTGATCTGCCTCAGCCTCGCAAAGTGCTAGGATTACCGGTGTGAACCACTGTGCCCAGCCAGAATTTATTCTTACAGAAATTCTCAAACTTTGATCTCAGGTTGCCAAAGAGATTTGTAACAATAAACCAACTACATTTTAACATAAACAATACATTTAAAGAAAAATAACCATATTTTCCAAAACAAAAGAGTTAGAAGAGTAGCATTATTTTACATTTTTGTAAGTAGCTTTAATATCTGGCTGAATGGAAATTGGATTCTAATACATGCTTTTTCCATTCAATCTGTTAAGATATATTGTTTTGGCTAAAGTATCTGAAGAAAATAAGGCTTTATACAGGTATATAATTGAAAAGGGAGAGTATTTTAATAACCTTTTCAGATGATGGTGAATATTCTCTGATATCACACCAGAACTCAAGGGGGCTGGGCGCCGTGGCTCATACCTGTAGTCCCAGCACTTTGGGGGGCTGACGCAGGAGGATCACTTGCGCCCAGGAGTTCCAATACCAGCCTGGGCAACGTAGGGAGACCCTATCTCTTTAAAAATTATCCAGGCATAGTGGTGTGTGCCTGTGGTCCCAGCTACTAGGGACTGAGGCAGGAGACTTGCCTGAGCCTGAGGGGTTATGGCTGTGGTGAGCTGTGTTCGTGCCACTGCACTGTAGCCTGGCCGACGGTGAAATCTTGTCTTAAATAAATTAAATAAATAAGGAGTTTTGAGCTGGGTGTGCTGGCGCATGCCTGTAGTCCCAGCTACTTGGGAGGCTGAGGCAGGAGGATCACTTGAGCCCAGGAGTAGTTTTTTTGTTTTTTGTTTTAGCCTGGCCAGTGTGGTGAAACCCCGTCTCTACTAAAAATACAAAAATTGCTGGGCGCGGTAGCTCACGCCTGTCATCCCAGCACTTTGGGAGGCCGGGGCGGGTGGATCACCTGAGGTTGGGAGTTTGAGACCAGCCTGTCCAACATGGAGAAACCCCATCCCTACTAAAAATGCAAAATTAGCTGGATGTGGTGGCACATGCCTGCAATCCCAGCTACTCGGGAAGCTGAGGCAGGAGAATCTCTTGAACCCGGGAGGCGGAGGTTGTGGTGAGCCATGATCGCAACATTGCACTTTAGCCTGGGCAACAAGAGCGAAACTCCGTCTCAAAAAAAAGATAAAAAAATTAGCCGGGCATGGAGGCACGCGCCTGTAGTCCCAGCTACTCAGGAGGCCGAGGCAGAAGAATCTCTTGAACCCGGGAGGCGGAGGTTGCGGTGAGCCGAGATCGCGCCACTGCACTCCAGTGTGGGCGACAGAGGAGGACTCCGTCTTTAAAAAAAAAAAAAAAAAAAAAGAGTTTCTTTTATCCCTTCTATTTTCAGTTTCAGAAGTGAATGATATTAGAATATATGTTCAATCGAGCATCTTAATAAAACTCTTGAATAAATTTAGAGTAACATCTGTGAAACCTTTTTACTCTGCATATGGAAATTTAAAATAATTCTAATAGACACTTAAAGTATATTTGTTTATATATTATTTCTTATGTCCTAGACAAAACCTAGTATAATATTTATATGAAAATATGTATCATTACGTGTTTTGGTAATTCAGGAATGTTGATGTAGGAGTTTAGGGGCCTACATTTTAATTTGAACACTGACACCTTACTAGCTTTGCTTTCCGGAGCAAAGCAGTGTTTCTCTCTAAGAATCGATTTCTTCACAATAGGGACAATAATGCCTATATTTCATAGGATTGTTATTTCATTTACTCTCCACAGCATGTGAAGCCCTATCACAGAACTTGGCATAAAGTAGTCACTAAAAAATATTTTTCTCTTCAGTCTCTCCTGGCTACCTTCCCTTTCCTTCTGGTCGGCATTGGTAACATCTAGGTTCTCTAGACCTTGGATTTTTCATCTGAATGGGATGGTTGTAGTCCCTTTAAATAATTCTACAATTTAGGGGAAGTAGTGACAAAATGTAATGTAGAGATATACTGAAGGTAGTATGAAACTCAAGAGAGAGGTAAATGCTGGAAATATAGATTTGGGTATTATCAGCAAATTTATTTTAATTGAAACCATGTTGGTTGGTGAGACTGCCCAGGAACATGGGAGACTATATGATATTTTGAAATAATGAGTATAATAGTTTATGATTTCTTCTTAATGCTCACATTTATTTGAATACAGCAAGGAATATATGGTGTTCAATTTTGATTAAAATGAGTATCTTGATTTCAATGATATTTATTTGAAATTTTCAAAATTCACAGGTTGCATATGGCCAAGTCCTTGGAGTTATAGGATATTCATTACTTCCTCTCATTGTAATAGCCCCTGTACTTTTGGTGGTTGGATCATTTGAAGTGGTGTCTACACTTATAAAAGTAAGTTAAGGATTATGTATTACATAGTTTACTGTTTTCCAATGTCAAAAGTATACTAGGCCTCTAGCTAGGAATATT
The DNA here is from genome assembly GCF_000001405.40 of Homo sapiens. Taxonomy (NCBI): domain Eukaryota; kingdom Metazoa; phylum Chordata; class Mammalia; order Primates; family Hominidae; genus Homo; species Homo sapiens. The sequence continues at coordinate 32,301,574 of NC_000002.12, forward strand.
GTGATATAAAACTCTTTATCAAACAGTTGGTAGTATTTTGGAAGTGACCTTCCTTACTGATTTTGCCAGTTATATTTCTTTCATTTTTTTTCCTTTTTAATCACCAGATATTACTGTTTGTCTGGGGGAAAAAACAAAGAGCAAATCAGGTTTCAGGATATTATAGTCAGATTTTTGTTTTGTTTTCTGGAGTCTCGATCTGTCACCAAGGCTGGAGTGCCTCCCAGGTTCATGTGATTCTCCTGCCTCAGCCTTCCTAGTAGCTGGGACTACATGTGTGTGCCACCATGCCTGGCTAATTTTTTGTTTTTAGTAGAGATGGGGTTTCACCATGTTGGCCAGACTGGTCTTGAACTCCTGACCTCAGGTGATCTGCCTGCCTTGGCCTCCCAAAGTGCTGGGATTACAGGCATGAGCCACCACACCCGGCCTGGTCAGCATTTTTCTTTTTCTTTCTTTCTTTTTTTTTTTTTTTGAGACAGAGTCTTGCTCTGTCGCCCAGGCTGGAGTGCAGTGGCGTGATCTCAGCTCACTGTAACCTCTGCCTCCTGGGTTCAAGCCATTCTTCTGCTTCAGCCTCTCATGTAGCTGGGACTACAGGTGCGCACCACCACACCTAGCTAATTTTTGTGTTTTTAGTAGAGACAGGGTTTCACCGTATTGTCCAGGCTGGTCTCGAACTCCTGACCTTGTGATCCACCCGCCTCAGCCTCCCAAAGTGCTGGGATTACAAGCGTGAGCCACTGCTCCCGGCTGGTCAGCATTTTTTAAATGTTGGATTTAAAATTTATTTTCTGTATTTATAATATGAGTTCATCTGACAGATTTTGAGGGGGATATTTATTTAAAATTCCACTGGACATTTATTTAGTAACTGCTACTCCTGTTTGAATAGTAACTTTCCTATCAAATATGATAGATGTGGTTCTAATAAATTGGATTTTCCGTAGTGCAGAGATCAGGACTTCTTTGTGTTATTTATGTTAAATCAACATATATACATATATTTAAATATTTACTGATAAAAGTATTAATAAATAGTAGTGTAACTTAAACATTGGAATTTATTAATGTCGAACAACTTTGGGAAATAAATGACTGCTTTGACACATATATGTATATTACACAGTGAATATAAGTTTGTTCTTTATGGAGAACAGAACTTTTAAAGACTGTGACTTTCAGAACTGCTGTTATGTAGCTTCCACATGAAAGTATTTGTTTTTAAGTAGCTGAGCCACTTGAAATTATTACTAATTTCAATATAAAAGAAATAATGATTCCTTTTAGAATTTGGAAACTATACGCTGATACTGATAATAAGCATTGGGAATCGAAAATGTGTGGTTTTTGGAACTAATCAGTTCTAAATTCAAACCCTGGTTCTGCCACTTACTTGCTGTCTGGTCTTCCGAGGTATCTTAACTTTTCTTACCCTCAATTTGTTCTTAACAATGGTAAACTTAACTATATTTTAGGGTTCGTTACAAAGAGTTTATATATAATGCTGATCAGGCATGGTGGCTACCGCCTATAATCCCAGCACTTTGGGAGGCTGAGGCGAATGGATTACTTGAGCTCAGGAGTTTGAAATCAATCAGCCTGGGCAACGTGGCGAAACTCCATCTCTACAAAATTTAGCCAGGTGTGGTGGCGGGTACCTGTGGTCCCAGTTCCTTGGGAGGCTGAGGTGGGAGGATTGCTTGGGCCCATGAGGCCGTGGCTGTAGTGAGCCATGATTGCACCACTGCACTCCAGCCTAGGTGACAGAGTGAGACCCTGTCTCTGCCTAGTACAGTGCTTGGCACAGAGTAGGCACTCAAGCTGTTGTTATTACAAATATTATAAAATAGGCCAGGTATGGTGGCTTACTGTTGTAAATCCCAGCAGTTTGGCAGGCCGAGGCAGGTGGATCAGTTGAGCCCAGTTCGAGACTCAACCATTTCTCCAAAAATACAAAAATTAGCCGGGCATGGTGGCATGCACCTGTTAGTCCTAGCTACTCAGGAGGCTGAGATGGGAGGATCGCCTGAGCCCAAGAGGTTGAGGCTGCAGTGAGCAGTGATCGTACCATTGTACTCCAGTGTAGGTGACAGTGAGACCTTGTCTCAATAAAAACCCAAATTGTAATATTTTGAGATCATCTTTGTGTTTAAATACTTCAGAGACTAAAGATACCTTGTTTTCCTATTCAGTATAACCCTAAAGCCTTTTTTTGAAATTGGCATTATTAGAACTTAGTTTAAAGTCTTAACGTTGCAGCAGACATTTAATTATTCCTATTCCAGCCTTAGTGAACATACCACTCACTTACCATCATTTCCTGGTGTGTGTTTTTTCACTTGGGTTAAGCTTGTTTCTGAGACTACTCCCAAAATGGTTAAAACTATTGTTCTGTGGTCATCTTTAATCATATAGTTATCTTAAAGTTGGACCTAAATATTCTTTATACAACATATAAATGTATTATAAAATGGAAAACTCTTTTTTATATCATTAAAAATTTAGAGTAAAATTGTTTTTAAACTTCAGATTATTCTTTGCCAAAATTTTTTTCCTGATCATTTAATCTTCTGTGAGTAGTGAGCTATTTCACGTTTCTTATTTCAGTCTGAGTTTTGTTGAGAAATATGATGCGAAACTAATCAGTAAACTCCAGCATTAGAGTATATAGTTTAAGTGCAGTGATTTTATTTAACATTAAATCTCTGTAATACTTATCACTCTGTAAGCATTTATAATGAAAAAAATCTAATCATGAAATACAAATGCAGTTTGATCAAATTTTATTTTATATATTTCCCTGTACTTTTGTGTATGTTTGAATTATTTCATAGGGTTACTTTTTTTTTTTTTAAGTTCAACAAACCCAGTGGAAAGATGGACCAGACCAAATACATTTTTAATAAGTTTGCCAATATTTATTTTTTACCTGTATACCAGTGATTCTCAACTGAGGTAGATTTTGTCCCCCAGGGGACATTTGTCAACATCTGGAGGCATTTTTGAGGAGTGTGACTAGTATATAGTGTGTAGAGAGCAGGAATGCTGCTAACCATCCTACAATGCACAGGATAGCTCCCCACAGCCAAGAAGTACGCAGCCTAAAACGTCAATATTGCAAGGTTTAGAAACTCTGCCTTGTGCCAGGTCTGTTCCTATTAGAGTTTCCCTGAATTTCCTTGAAGTTTTTCCTTAATTTTATGCTATAAAATGTGTTAGGTGACTACATCAATAAGTATTGCATAAGTTTCCAGTAGAAATAATTTAAAAGTATGTATGTATGTGATCCAAAAACTATAGTATACTTTATTTAAACTCTTGACAAAATGTGATCTTTTTATCTCCTTTTTATTCAACCCTGTATTTCTGCCTATTCCTGGGAAAAAACTTAATAAATATTAAGACTTAATAAATATTGTATAAAATTTTTACTTAATCGATTTTCTTATTTAGAAGGAAAAGGAAAATTTCCTACTTTGCAGGAATTAGTTTTCTCTCAGTAATTTGGTATAATAATAGTTTTTTCAAAAGTTGCCTAATCATAATCACCAGGGAACTTATTTAAAATACTGATAACTAGATCCTTCCCTTAGAAATTATAGCTCAAAGAAAAAGAAACAATAAGTTATAATTTAACAGAACTAGAGAGTCCCCCAAGTCTTTTTAATAGGCACCCCAAGTGATTCTTATGATTAGACTGGTTTGATAAGACCACATTTACAGAAGTCAAGGAGTAGAGCAAAGATGGACATTCTTAATAAGTTTTTAACATTTGTAACAAGTTTTACTATTTACCAAAATTGGTTGTTGATTTTTTAAAAATATTGTAAACACCATTTTTACTCTATGATATCCAAAAAGTTAATTGACTTGCTAATATGCTGCCTTTTGTCTTTTTTCCTTTTTTTAAAGCTGTTTGGTGTGTTTTGGGCTGCCTACAGTGCTGCTTCATTGTTAGTGGGTGAAGAATTCAAGACCAAAAAGCCTCTTCTGATTTATCCAATCTTTTTATTATACATTTATTTTTTGTCGTTATATACTGGTGTGTGATCCAAGTTATACATGAATAGAAAAAGATGGTGTTAAATTTGTGTGTAGGCTGGGAATTCTTGCTGAAGGAATTGGAGAAAACCTGTTGCTGCAAAATTTTACATGTTCCAGATGGAAAGGGAAGTCTAAGCGCTTTTTAAAACAATTTTTTTTTGTATTTAATTAAGCAATTGCAGTTATCTGGGATTTTTGGGTCAGAATTTTAAATTCTGTTTGATTCTCCATATTCCAGTGAATAAAATACAAAAGCATTGTGTTTTTAAGATTGTGTCGATATTCACCTAAAAACTTGTGCCAAAAGCACCTGGATTGGTAATTATATTTCACTTAAAGGGTAAATTTGACAATATCTTGATAATCAAAAGTGCAATTTTTTTCTTCAAAATGTTTTCTCCAGCATCACAGATCCTGCAGATATATATTTATATTTATACATATATATTTATGAAATAATTCTTACTCACAAAATATATTTCTGATAAACATTAAGATATTAAATCTGATGCACAAACTTTTTAATTTGGCCATTAATCTTTTTTATTTAAAAATTTAAATTTGTTTTTAAAATTGTATATAGTTTTTAAAATCTCACACATGCTTCGATACTTCCTTGTTAAGAATTCTTAATAACTACTAAAACTGATTTTTAATAGTTGCTGATATATATTTGGTTTGTTTGGGTATACTTTTCAAAACCATTTTTGAATGTCCAAACATCTGATTTAAAGTTTCTGTTTATCTTTCTGACCAAAGGAGCAAGAGGTATAATGGATATGGCATTCATTAAAATCTTTACTATGTACAAAAACAGTAATATTTACAGCATCAGTAAATATTTTTAAGTGGTACTTCTAAATCATAAAAGTTGGGGAAAGAGACCTTTAAAATCTTGTGGTGTTGAACAATGTTATATGAAGTAGAAAAAATAAAATACTTCCCAGTTGTGTGTTTTGTTTTACAGCACCATGTCCTGTATTACTTGATATTTTAACAAGTATCAGGTACTCTCTAACAAATGTACAGTTTTTGCTAAGGGAAATATTAAGAAATTTTTATCAGTGAAATATTTGTTGCAAATAATTTCATAGGTTTTTAGATACACCTGTAGTTAATATTACTTTGTAAAGTAGGTAAATCATTTTATTTATGTCCATAAAATATCAAATGTCTGTTAACTATTAGCAAATTATTGTATTATCCTTTCTGGTCTCACCTGGAAGAGTTTCCTGCTGTCCTCAGTATGATAACATGGCGACCTCTTGGTATGTATTTCTTTAGCAAACTTACCCATCAGGAAATATCCAGCACCTCTGAAGCAAACCTACAAATGAGTGTGTTATCAAGCCCAGCCGTCTTCCTTTCCCCTAATCCCAAAAGGAAAGAAAGAAAAACTTATTTTAAGCTGCAGAAAAAGTGTGGAGCACTTTTGAGCTAGAATAATGTAGAAAATTACATGTACTGATTTTTTTAAAAACAGGTGAGAAGCACCAGAGGGACAGGACTTCTAGAAGTTAGAATAATATGAAGTAATCAGGAAATATCTATGCCTACAGAAGCAGCAACCGTAAGATAAACATTTGTTACACTTAAGAAATTGCTGAGGTTAATACTTTGTTATAATGGATTATAATATTTGACATTCATAGTGTTGACCCTGGAATCTTTCACAGAAAGCTTGGGGGTCAGGACCAGGAGGTAGAATTTTACAAGGCAATAAATGAAGGTATTTTAAGATCACCTCTATTAAAAAATGGTTTAATTTTTAAAAACTATCATTGCTTTAAGGTATGAATTTTAAAAATCACTTATATGGATCATGTTTACTCCTAATGATATAAGATAAAATGAGGTATTTTTGTTCCAAAAAGTATTTTAAAATAGCATTTAATCTTGGGAACTATCTTACTTAGGGTTTCTATAAATACAAATTACAATGTTTCGAACTCAACCAGTATCATTTTCGTGTGCTAATGAGCAAAGTAGTTAGAACAGATTGTCAGTTTAAAAACAGGATTTGTAGGCCAGGCACAGTGGCTCACGCCTGTAATCCCAGCACTTTGGGAGGCCAAAGTGGATGAGCAGCTTGAGTCAGGAGTTTGAGACCAGCCTGGCCAACATGGCGAAACCCCGTCTCTACTAAAAATACAAAAATTAGCCGGGCGTGGTGGCAGGCGCCTGTATAATCCCAGCTACTCAGGAGGCTGAGGCAGGGAGAATCGCTTGAACCCTTGGAGGTGGAGGTTGCAGTGAGCCAAGATTGTGCCATTGCACTCCAGCCTGGGTAACAGAGCAAGACTCTCTCAAAAAAAAAAAAAAAAAAAAAAAAAACCATGATTTGTAGATGTGTGCAAGACACAGTACTGCTATGGCTAATAATGGTAAGATGACCCTAATAATGTCCTCTCCTTGAATTTTTATATAATAATATTTTCTGAGTCATAACTAATTTTTTAAATAATGATTTCCAATCTAATTATTAATTAGAATTTTGTTGTTGTTGTTTGAGACAGAGTCACTCTGTCACCCAAGCTGGAGTGCAATGGCACGATCTCGGCTCACTGCAAGCTCTGCCTCCCGGGTTTGCACCATTCTTCTGCCTCAGCCTCACGAGTAGCTGGGACTACAGGCGCCCACCACCATGCCTGGCTAATTTTTTGTATTTTTAGTAGAGATGGGGTTTCACCGTGTTAACCAGGATGGTCTCGATCTCCTGACCTCGTGATCCGCCCGCCTCAGCCTCCCAAAGTGCCGGGATTACAGGTGTCAGCCACCGCACCAGGCCAGTTCATTAGAATTTTTAAAACAGGCTGGGCATGGTGGCTTACGCCTGTAATCCCAGCAGTTTGGGAGGCCGAGGCAGGTGGATCACCTGAGGTTGGGAGTTTGAGACCAGCCTGACCAATGTGGAGAAACCCCATCTCTACTAAGAATACAAAATTAGCCAGGCATGGTGGTGCATACCTGTAATCTCAGCTACTGGGGAAGCTGAGACAGGAGAATTGCTTGAACCCAGGAGGCAGAGGTTGCGGTGAGCTGAGATCGCGCCATTGCACTCCAGCCTGGGCAACAGGAGTGAAACTCCATCTCAAGAAAAACACAAAATACAAAACAAAACAAAACAAAAAAACAGAACTGGGCCGGGCGCGGTGGCTCACGCCTGTAATCCCAGCACTTTGGGAGGCCGAGGCGGGTGGATCACGAGATCAGGAGATCAAGACCATGGTGAAACCCCGTCTCTACTAAAAATACAATAAATTAGCCGGGCATGGTGGCGGGCGCCTGTAGTCCCAGCTACTTGGGAGGCTGAGGCAGGAGAATCGCTTGAACCCGGGAGGCAGAGGTTGCAGTGAGCCAAGATCGTGCCACTGCACTCCAGCCTAGGTGACAGAGTGAGACTCCGTCTCAAAAAAAAAAAAAAAAAAAATCAAAATCTATATAATTAAGCATTGTTTTTTAAAAAGTAGTTTAGGAAGATTTGTAAAGCTTATGAACCATTGTAAAACCTTATTTCTAAGGTCTGTAAGACAGTTTTATATGTAATAATGTGTCCATTTCCAGGAATTCCCCAAATACTCATACAGCCATTGAGCACCCCAATCCAAAATTCAGAATGCTTCAGATAAGAACATTTTTGAGTGCCGATGTGACACTTTAAAGGAAATGTTCATTGGAGCATTTTGCATTTCAGATTTTTGGATTAGGAAAACTCAACCACTGTATTTCTGCACATATTCCAAAATCTGAAAAAGTCTGAAACCTGAGAAACTCTGGTCCCAAGCATTTTGGAAAGGGTATACTCAATCTGTATTAACATAGACTTCTAAATTAGTGAAAATTTGCATTGAATTAAAATGTGAAGTAAATATTTTTGTTTAAATATTGTTTAAAATTTAGTCATTTAAAAATTTTGTGATGTAACAAAATGTTGAATGAAATAATGCTTCTACAACTTAAAATTATTTTTCATAGTGAACAAAACTAGTTGAATACTTCTAAATATTCATTTTTGTTAGTGCACATTTTATCCAGTTTTAGGCTTTAGGGAATTGTGACCCTTTTTTTTTTTTTTTTTTTTTTTTTGGAGACGGAGTCTTGCTCTCTCGCCCAGGCTGGAGTGTGTGGCGCAATCTCAGCTCACTGCAACCTCTGATTCCTGGGTTCAAGCAATTCTCATGTCTCAGCCTCCCTAATAGCTAGGATTACCGGTGCCCGCCACCACGCCCAGCTAATTTTTTAAATTTTTAATGGAGACAGGGTTTCACCATGTTGGCCAGGCTGGTCTTAAACTCCTGACCTCAGGTGATCCACCCACCTTGGCCTCCCAAAGTGCTGGGATTACAGGCTTAAGCCACCGTGCCCGGCACTTTTGTTTTTAAAATAATATCTTACTTTCATATGATTCTTTCAGACTGTGGTATGGCATTCTGAAGCAAGTCTTAACAGAGCTAAAAATCACCCTTACCCAATTCTCTGCACTGACATATGTACACAAAGTAATATTTTATTATTCTCCTTCATAAATGGTTTCTTTAATTGAACCTTTGAGCCTTATACTATTTTTAAATTTCCCTTTAAAAATTGAATTACAGCCAGGCATGGTGGCTCATGCCTGTAATCCCAGAACTTTGGGAGGCCATGGCAGGAGGATTGCTTGAACCCAGGAGTTGTAGACCAGCCTGGGCAAGATAGCGAGATCCTGCCTCTGAAAAAATCATAATAATACTTTAATTTAGAAAATACCCTGAATTAGAAGTGCTTCATTCCTCATTTGTGTACAGCTGTTCCTCTATATACGAAGGGGATTGGTACCAGAACCACTGCATACCAAATTCCACCCATACTCAAGTCTCACAGTCTTCCCTGCAGAATCCAAGTATACAAAAAGTAGGCCTATCATTTATATGGGTTTTGCATCCTGACAGTACTGTATTTTCAATCCTAGTTTGTTTGGGAAAAAAAAATTGTTTGTATGCCTGGGTACAGTATCATACCTGTAATCCCAGCACTTTGGAAGGCTGAGGCGGGAGGACTGTTTTGTGGCCAGGAGTTCAAAATCAGCCTGGTCGACGTAGTGAGACCCCATCTCTACAAAAGAAAAATTAGCTGGGCATGTGGCACCTGCCTGTGGTCCCAGCTACTCAGGAGGCTGTGAGGCAGGAGAATTGCTTGAGCCTGGGAGGTTGAGGCTGCAGTGAGCCGCGATCACACCACTGCATGCCAGCCTGGGCGACAGAGTGAGACCCTGTCTCAGAAAAGAAAAAAAAAGTAAAAATTGCATGTAAGTTGACCCGCACTATTCAAATTTGTGGTGTTCAAGGTTCAACTGTAATTTCCTAGCAGCATTTTGTGTGTTTGAGAATCTCTTGACACTCTTCAAGTAAATCCCTAAATTACAACTTTGACATCAAAAAAGCTAGACATTCCTACATTTTTGCACTACAATACATAAAAACTCCCATGCTGATCGGTTGTGGGATCGTGCCTGTGAATAACCACTGCACTCCAGCCTGGGCAACATAGTAAGTAAGACCTTGTCTCTTAAAAAAAATACATTCTGAAGAAAGTTCTACTTATGAATACATTTTATTTATAACAAACTGGTGAAAATTTTAGACCAAACCATGTCTTTCTGGGTTGTAGTGATTAAAAAATGGTTAAGAGAATGTTCCCTATACAAGGCATATGTTATTAAACATGAAATTTAGGATTAGTTTTCTCTTTGAAAATTCTTTTGATATGCTGAGGTTACAGTTTGGAGGTTACATTAGAGAAAGAATATAGGGAAGATGGCAGTGGTAAAACATTTCCCTGCTTTACATTTTTATATTGGCAGTATCTTGGTTTCAACTTTTCTATTTTCAGCAAGATATTTGCAAGTTTTTACTTTGAAGATGTTTGGTTTATAGTAGTCCATGCTATACTAATGCTGTTGCTGAGATAATTAAGTTAGATACTAATATGAAAAAGAATATTTGTGTAAAATATTTTGAAGTTGTAATTAGTGTATATACAAGTTGTTAATACTTACGAAAAAAGGAAGCATTCCCACCTGTAATAATTTTGTTAACACTAGACTATCAGTAAATTATCAAGAATAAAAACCTTGGTTTTTCTGTAATATTTGCCACTGAGCAATTTTTATTAAAAACCAAACAGAAGTATTTACACAAGAACAAGTGAAATTACACAAAATGATAATGGGGAGAAATTTCTCATCTGGTGATAAAGGGAAAAAGATAATGTAAAAGCAGATTGCTGCTATTTGCATAATAAGCACTTGTTGAAGAATAAATGATTAAGTTCAATATTTTTGCTCTATTTTATACCTACTCACTTTGGTGGAATTAGTTCTCCATGTAAAGTATCTTTTTAATAGTAAGCACCATTTAATAATGAAACAACTCATATGTTTTGTAATCCTTATGGAGAATTACTTCATGTGATAATTATAGTCTCTTCATGGAAAACAGTAAAAATACTCACGTTTATGATGATGGGCCTAGGTACTAAATTCCTCATTCAATCTTTTTTTACCAAATGGTACTTAATAAAATCTTTTACCTTATAAAAATCTATTTTCGGCCAGGCGCGGTGGCTCACGCCTGTAATCCCAGCACTTTGGGAGGCCGAGGTGGGCGGACCACGAGGTCAGGAGATCGAGACCATCCTGGCTAACACGGTGAAACCCTGACTCTACTAAAAATACCAAAAATTAGCCGGGCGTGGCAGCGGGCGCCTGTAGTCTCAGCTACTCGGGAGGCTGAGGCAGGAGAATGGCGTGTACCCGGGAGGCGGAGGTTGCAGTGAGCCGAGATCGCGCCACTGCACTCCAGCCTGGGCGACAGAGCGAGAATCCGTCTCAAAAAAAAAAAAAAAAAAAAAAAAAAAAAAAATTATTTTCAAAGGATTGTGCTAGTGGTGGCCTGAATAATAAAACATTGAGAAGAAACAGCCTTTGAATTTGGCACCCTGAATGTGAAGGGACAATAGATATTAATCACATATTTATTAACCCCTTCCTGTATGAACCTAGTACTGTGCTGAGTGTAGGGATACAGTGATAATGCAAAAAAGACCCCCAATAGGCCGGGCGCGGTGGCTCACGCCTGCAATCCCAGCACTTTGGGAGACCGAGGCGGGTGGATCACGAGGTCAGGGGATCGAGACCATCCTGGCTAACACGGTGAAACCCCGTCTCTACTAAAAATACAAAATTTAGCCGGGCGTGGTAGCAGGCGCCTGTAGTCCCAGCTGCTTGGGAGGCTGCGGCAGGAGAATGGTGTGAACCCGGGAGGCGGAGCTTGCAGTAAGCAGAGATCGCGCCACTGCACTCCCGCCTGGGTGACAGAGCGAGACTCTGTCTCAAAAAAAAAGACCGCCCCCCCCAATATACACACACCCTGACTTTAATGAGCTTATTTTGCTGGGGACTCAGCCAATTAATTTCACAAATTGTAAAACTATTTCAAGAAATGAGAAAAAGAGGCCTGTGGTGGTAAGCAAGTATATAAAAGAAGCCTTCCTTGAAGCAACGATGCTTAAGCTGAAATCTTAGGGAAAAATAAAAGTTAACTAGGCAAAGAAGGTAGGGAAGACTCTTTCAGATAGAATCGCAGTTTGTGAGTTTGCTTGGGGAAAAAAATTTAAAAATATAAAAAGAAAACCAGTTTGAAGTTTAGTGGTTAATGAAATTGAACAGGTATGTCAGCACCATACCTGACATTCTAGGCCATTCTTTCTTTGTCAGAGCTTTTTTGTTGAGATGGAGTCTCGCTGTCTCGCTGAGGCTGGAGTGCAGTGGTGCAATCTCGGCTCACTGCAACCTCTGCCTCCCAGGTTCAAGTGATTCTCCTGCCTCAGCCTCCCAAGTAGCTGGGATTACAGGTGCCCATCACCACACCCGGCTAATTTTTTTGTTTTTAGTAAAGACGGTTTCTCCATGTAGGCCAAGCGGGTCTTGAACTCCCAACCTCCGGTGATCTGCCCACCTCAACCTCCCAAAGTGCTGGGATTACAGGCGTGAGACACTGTGCCCAGCCTGTCAGAGCTTTTGAGTAGAAATACGGTATCAGAAATGTGCTTTATTTTATTTTATTAGACAAAGTCTTGCTCTGTTGCCAGGCTGGAGTGCAGTGGCGCGATCTTGGCTCACTGCAACCTCTGCCTTCTGGGTTCAAGCGATTCTCCTGCCTCAGCCTCCCGAGTAGCTGGGATTACAGGCACCCACTGCCACACTCGGCTAATTTTTGTATTTTTAGTAGAGACGGGATTTCACCATGTTGGTCTCGAACTGCTAACCTCAGGTGATCTGCCCGCCTTGGCCTCCCAAAGTGCTGGGATTATAGGCATGAACCACTGCGCCCAGCCAGAAACGTGCTTTTAATACTAAAGGCCAAGATATGCAATTATACTCTTGACATATATTCAACCGAAATGCATGTACATGTACCATAAGAGACATATGTACAAGAATGTGCACAGTTAACATTATTCAAATAGCCAAAAACGGGAACATGTCCATCAACACAGAATAGACAAGTTGGTATAATTACACAATGGAATCTTATGCAGCAATGAAAATAAATGAACTAAAGCCGCATACAAAAACATGAAGAATTTCACAAGTATTATGTTGAGTGAAAAAGACAAAGAATTTGTACTGTATTACTTCATTTATATGAAGTTCAAACACAGGCAAAATTAAGCTATAGTGTTTAGGGATGCATACTGAAATGCAGTCTTTTAAAACAGCTTTAGAATTCCTTGGCCAGGTGCGGTGGCTTACGCCTGTAATCCCAGCTCTTTGGGAGGCAGAGGCTGGCAGATCACCTGAGGTTGGGAGTTTGAGACCAGCCTGACCAACATGGAGAAACCCCATCTCTACTAAAAATACAAAATTAGCTGGGCGTGGTGTCGCGTGCCTGTAATCCCAGCTACTCTGGAGGCTGAGACAGGAGAATCGCTTGAACCTGGGAGGTGGAGAGTGTGGTGAGCTGAGATGTCACCATTGCACTCCAGCCTGGGCAAGAAGAGCAAAACTTCGTCTCAAAAAAAAATAAAAAAATAAGGCTCCAAGCGCTGTTGTGAGGGTTAAATGAACTAGATAATTAATGTAATAAACAGAATAGTTTTGGCATTCAACAAACATTGGCTGTTATTATATTAGCTATTAAAAATTTAAGTCATTTAGGTCAATGAAACAGGAGGGTTTCCAGAATTATACCCAATTAATTATACATGGGAAGGTGATGAAGGTAGCATGTCAAATTGGTATAAAAAGATGGAATATTAAATAAGTGGGGATACTGTATCAGATAGGAACATATTTGGTTGCAAGAAACAAAAATTCCTGTGATTACTAGCTTCACTGTGAGTTTATTTTTTCACGTAATAAATCCAAGGTTACATAATCCATAACTGATATGGCAGTTTAACAGTGTTATTAAGAACTCAAGGTCCATTTATTGCTCTATTCTGCCATCTTTGGTGAGTGGCTTTCATCCTCATTGTCTCAGAAAAGTTATTTCACCTCTAAGTATTACATCTACATTTCAAGCAGGAAGAAGATGAAGCTTAAGAGACCAAATGGAGCATGTCAGTCAAAGGTGTCCTTATTTAAAATCTCTGGAAGCCCCACTTAGTGGCTTCCATCCATGTCTCATGGGACAGAACTGAATCACATAGCCATCCCTTGCTGTAAGAGAGTTGGGGAAAGTATTTTAAGCTGGGACATCCCAGCCCTGAGTGAAGTCAGGGATCTGTTAGGAAGAATGGATGCTAGGTAGGTAAATGGCAATGTCTGACAAAGACATGGTAGGCCAGTCTGAAAAATGTAAAGCTGGGCTGCGCGCGGTGGCTCACGCCTGAAATCCCAGCACTTTGGGAGGCCGAGGCGGGCGGATCCTGAGGTCAGGAGATCGAGACCATCCTGGTTAACGTGGTGAAACCCCGTCTCTACTAAACATATAAAAAATTAGCCGGGCTTGGTGGCGGGCGCCTGTAGTCCCAGCTACTGAGGCAGGAGAGTGGCATGAACCCGGGAGGCGGAGATTGCAGTGAGCCGAGATCGCGCCACTGCACTCCAGCCTGGGTGACAAGGCAAGACTCCGTCTCAAAAAAAAAAAGAAAAATATAAAGCTGGATCTATACCTCACTCCTTATACCAAAGTACATTACCCTTGTATCAAATATTTTAAAAACTGGAATAAGCTTTTCATATAATCTTTGAGAAGATGGGGCTTTCAAAGCGTTAAATGAAACACAGAAGCCATGGCCAGGCACGGTGGCTCATGCCTGTAATCCCAGCTCTCAGGGAGGCAAGAGGCAGGAGCATAGCTTGAGCCCAGGCGTTCAAGACCTGCCTGGGCAATATAGCGAGACCCCGTTCTCCCCAAAAAGGAAAAAAAAAAAAAAACCAAAAAAAAAAAAAAAGTATAAAGCACAGAAGCGAAAGGAAAAGTGATGAAGACACTTGAAGACCTGTCATTTAAAATGATTCTACAGGAAAAAGATGAACTACAAATTGGGGAAAAATATTTGTAGGACTTATGTAGACAAAGGACTAATTTTCTTAATAAAAACATTTATCAGTAAATTTAAATGGGCAAAGGAAATACTTGGACAATCATATCATGTATGTAATATTAATATTTATAAATCAATAAAATGGGCTAGGGATATAAATCAGCAATTCAAGGGGAGGGTAAAAAGACCAACTAATATATGTAAAGATGCACAAATTCATTCATGATTAAATGTGAATTAACAACGTTGGCCTCTCGGATTCCCAAAACTTTAAAAGATTAATAATATCCAGTATTGGTTGGGATTATAAGCAGATATGATATTTCACTGATAGAGACCAGCATGACTGTCTCAATTGTTAAACTATTGAAATGCATCTGTGTCAATGGTAAATAGTATTATTGTAAGTACAACACTAAAATTAATAAATTGTGTAAATTCTAATATGGATTAATTTGTCTTTTGTGACAACTATTGATAACCTCTTTGTTGTAATGACACCTAAGAAACATTTGTAACATCTGCTAGCTTGGCCTGCATCTTGGTAAATAATGTAGCTGCATTATGTATTACCTATGAAGCATTCCTTGCTGTAACAGTTGCTACTGCTTTTAAATACTTTTAGTCTAGTTTTTTTTTTTTTTTTTCAAGACGGAGTCTCGCTCTGTCGCCCAGGCTGGAGTGCAGTGATGTGATCTCGGCTCACTGCAACCTCCGCCTCCCGGGTTCAAGCGATTCTCCTGCCTCAGCCTCCCGAGTAGCTGGGACTACAGGCTTGTGCCACCATGCCCAGTTAATTTTTGTATTTTTGGTAGAGACAGGGTTTCACCATGTTGGCCAGGTGGTCTCTGTCTCTTGACCTCGTAATCTGCCCACCTCGACCTCCCAAAGTGCTGGGATTACAGGCATGAGCCACCACGCCCGCCCTAGTCTAGTTTTTTATTTGGTTTTACTGTTAGTGCGTTGTAATTCTTAGGTAAAAAGTAAGTAAAGTGGCTGGGCACAGTGGTTCATGCCTGTAATCCCAGCACTTTGGGAGGCCAAGGTGCACCGATCATGAGGTCAGGAGATTGAGACCATCCTGGCCAACATGGCGAAACCCCGTCTCTACTAAAATACAAAAAATTAGCCGAGTGTGGTGATGTGCACCTGTAGTCCCAGCTACTCGGGAGGCTGAGGCAGAGAATTGCTTGAACCTGGGAGGCGGAGATTGCAGTGAGCCGAGATCGCACCACTGCACTCCAGCCTGGTGACAGAGCAAGACTCCATCTCAAAAAAAAAGTAAAGCATTTTCATATTTTAAAATTGAGGAATTTATAACAAATATTTGAAAACAAACACCCCAAAACTGCTTGACACTATTTTCTATCAATGCTGAGTATATATACACCCTATAACCTGGCAACTCATGTTTATCAAGTCATGTATACAGTGCTGTGTAATGGAACTTTCTGTATTAATGAAAATATTCTACATTCTATGCTGTTTGTAAAGCCACTAGTCTCATGAGCACTTGAAATGTGGCTAATCCAACTGAGGAGCTGATTTTCAATTTAATTTTACTTAAAGAGCCACATGTAGCTAATGGCTACTGTACTGACAGCAGTGAGTGTTCATAGCAGTAGCATTCATAATTACAACCATTCATGCCCCAAACTGGAAACCAACGTAGCAAATTATGGTGTATTCACATAATACAATATGTGAAAGATGTATAGCTGCACATAAGAATATGAATGAATCTTGCTCGCCCTGGCATGGTGGCTCACGCTTGTAATCCCAGCACTTGGGAAAGCTAAGGTGGGCAGATTGCTTAGCCCAGGAGTTTGAGACCAGCCTGGGCAACATGGCAAAACCCCGTCTCTACACATACAAAAAAGTTAGCCAGGCATGGTGGTGCATGCACCTGTGGTCCCAATTACTCGGGAGGCTGAGGTGGGAGGATCACCTGAGCCCAGGGGGTCGAGGCTGCAGTGAGCTGTGATCACACCACTGCACTACAGCCTGGGCCACATAGTGAGACCCTATCTCAAAAAAAAAAAAAGAATATGGATGAATCTCAAAAACATAATATTGAACAGAACACAGATACAAAAGAATATACTTTATGATTCTATTAATGTAAAGTACAAAAACAGGATGTTAGTTACCCTTGAGTGGCAAGGAAGTAACTGAAGGAGAGTACAGAGATTTGGGCTTCTAGGATGTTAGCATGTTCTATTTCTTAATCTGAGAGCTAATTACATGGGTGCAGTTAGTCTGAAAAATTTATCAAGCTGTAGACTTATAACATGTACACCTTTCTGAATGGGTATTGTGCTTGAATTAAAAGTTATAAGTTGGAGGTCGGATGCGGTAGCTCACACCTGTAATCCCAGCACTTTGGGAGGCTGAGGCTGGCAGATCACTTGAGGTCAAGACCAGCCTGGCCAACATAGTGAAACCCCGTCCCTACAAAAAATACAGAAATTAGCCAGGCGTGGTGGCACATGCCTGTTATGCTAGCTACTCGGGAGGCTGAGGCAGGAGAATCGCTTGAACCTGGGAGACGGAGGTGGTTGCAGTGAGCCAAGATTGCACCACTGCATTCCAGCTTGGGTGACATAGTAAGAACATGTCTCAAAAACAGGGTATAAGTTGGAAACACACAGAATGAAGTGTCAGCAAAGTGTTGATAAGTTTAGCGTTATTTTAAATGTTGTAAATGTTCATATTTTTATACTATGGAAGAACATGATAATGAACCATAGCTTGGATCATGTCTTGAAACATCCTGAAATCTCTTTTGATACTGTGCAAGAATTAATACAAATAAAACATGATTTTCGTCTCTGAAATGAAAAACATGACACTGTGGCTGGGTGCAGTGGCTCACGCCTGTAATCCCAGCACTTTGGGAGGCAGAGGGGGTGCAGATCACCTGAGGTCGGGAGTCTGAGACCAGCCTGAGCAACATGGAGAAACCCTGTCTCTACTAAAAATACAAAATTAGCCAGGCGTGGTGGCGCGTGCCTGTAATCCCAGCTACTTGGGAAGCTGAAGCAGGAGAATCGCTTGAACCCAGGAAGCAGAGGTTGCAGTAAGCCGATATTGCGCTATTGCACTCCAGCCTGGGCAACAAGAGCGAAACTCCATCTCAAAAATAAAAAAATAAAAAAGAAGAAAAAAGAAAAGAAAAACATGACATTGCAAGTGGTGAAGTGAATGTTAGGTGCTAGCAGTTATCAAAAATTGTGGTGTTCAAAGTGTTAAATGCGTTTTTCATCCAAAAAGCAATCATGTTCATTTAAAACTCATGCTTTAAACAAAGATTTGCAATCATCAGTGAGAAAATTAAGAGGGTATATAAATGTTTCAACAATAAAGAATTTGAAATAGTGACTAAATAGCCTCCCAAAGTGCTAGGATTACAAGCATGAGCCACCTCATATGGCCAAAAATATTTTTAGAAATTTGGCCTTATGAAAATTGTTTTAGCAAAATGTCAATTCTTTGTTTAGGTTTTCAAGAGAATATGTTTTATTCATAAATGAATTTGACAAAAGCTAAAAGTGATTGAACATATAAAACTAAAAGCATGAAAAAAGCAATAATGATTTAAGGAAGTACAATATGGTATTTGAAATAAAATATAGAGCCAAATCCAAAGGAAGTTATTATTATCTAATAAAATGTATGATAGCATTTTGATATATTTCCTTTCTGTGATAGTTAATTTGTTTGTTTGTTTGTTTGTTTGTTTAAGACGGAGTCTCCCTCTGTTGACCAGTGCAGTGGCATGATCTCGGCTCACTGCAAGCTCCGCCTCCCGGGTTCATGCCATTCTCCTGCCTCAGCCTCCCGAGTAGCTGGGACTACAAGCGCCCGCCACCACGCCCGGCTAATTTTTTGTATTTTTAGTAGTGATGGGGTTTCACCGTGTTAGCCAGGATGGTCTCAATCTCCTGACCTGGTGATCCGCCCGCCTCGGCCTCCCAAAGTACTGGGATTATAGGCGTGAGCCACCGCGCCCGGCCTTGTGATAGTTAATTTTATGTGTAAACTTAACTGGGCCACGGATTGCCCATATATATGGTCAAACATTATTCTAGATATGTCTGTGAGAGCACTGTTGGATGAGATTAACATTCAAATTGGTGGCCGGGCGCGGTGGCTCACGCTTGTAATCCCAGCACTCTGGGAGGCTGAGGCGGGTCACGAGGTCGGGAAATCGAGACCATCCTGACTAACACGGAGAAACCCCGTCTCTACTAAAAAATACAAAAAAAATTAGCCGGGCGTGGTGGCAGGCACCTGTAGTCCCAGCTACTCGGGAGGCTGGGGCAGGAGAATGGCGTGAACCCGGGAGGCGGAGCTTGTAGTGAGCAGAGATCGTGGCACTGCACTCCAGCCTGGGCAACAGAGCAAGACTCTGTCTCAAAACAAACAAACAAACACACAAACAAAATTCAAATTGGTAGACAGAGTAGATTGGCCTCCCTAATGTGGGTGGCCCTAATCAGTTGAAGGCGTAAATAGAACAAATAAAAAGCTAATTTACCTCCATGAGTAAGACAGGTTGCCTCCTGCCTGACTGCCTTTGAGCTGATTTTTTTCCTACCTTCAGACTAAACTGAAACATTAGCTCTTCCTGGATTTTGGACCTGTTGGTCTTCAGATTCACACTGAAGTTCTTGGGACTTGTCAGCCTCTATATTCAAGTAAGCCAATTCCGTATAATAAATCTCTTTCTTTCTTTATACATTCCATAGATTCTCTTTCCTTGGATTCACTTTGTCACTAATACACTTTCTATCCTTTTTTCCCTGGGCATAGTCTTAAAATATGGACATTTTTAGATGAGTGACTTTGGTACAATCTTATTATAAGTATACTTTAGTGCATGTTGATTTTCAGAAACCTGTTTAAGAGAAAAATAGAGCTCATTTTAAAGTGAGATAACATGGATAGTCAAAATTATATTACCCTAAGCATTAAAAATAACATAAAAATCTATAAAATTAGCCAGGTGTGATGGCTCACACCTGTTATCCCAGCACTTTGGGAGGCCGAGGTGGATGGATCCCTTGAGGCCAGGAGTTTGAGACCAGCCTGGGCAACCTGGTGAAACCTCATCTCTACTAAAAATACAAACATTAGCCAGGTATGGTGGCACACACCTGTAGTCCCAGCTACTTGGGAGGCTGAGGCAGGAGAATCACTTGAACGGGGGAGGCGGAGGGTGCAGTGAGCCGAGATCACACCACTGCACTCCAGCCTGGGCGACAGAGTGAGACTCTGTCTCCCCCCCAAAAAAAGAAAGAAAATTTACCAAGGAGTAGAATTGCTGGGTCCTAGGCATGTATGTCAATGTAAGTTGCTAAATTGCTCTCCAAAGTGAATACACCAACATCCCTCTTACTAGAAAGTTCCTTTTGCTTCACCAATCCAATGACAATGCTTGGAATTCTCAGAATTCTTAACTTTTGCCAATCTAATGGTATCTCATTATGGTTTTAATGTCCCCAATTACCAATGAATTGGAGCATCTTTTTTAAAATTATTATTTTAAAAAATGTTTTTTCGAGACTGGGTCTCATTCTGGTTTGCCCAAGCTGGAGCACAGTGGCGTGTGTACACACCTGACACACCTGACAGCAACAGCTTGACTGAAGCATACCCTGAGAATGACCCTGTATGGCAGAAGCGCCTGGCAGCAATAACAACCTAAGAAATTAGGGTTGCTATGTGGAGGTTGCTGGGGTGGAGGGTGCTAAGCGAAGGTGCTATATAAACTGCATGCTTTTTACAAGCAGTAGCAATTCTCCTGTCCAGCCCACTGCCGCTGCACTGTCCCTGTATGAAAGTTCCCCCTGGTTAAACCCTATGTCTCCCTTGCTGGCTCTAGGTCTCTTTTTCAGCCTCTTGACCCTTGTGCCATCCCTACTGGAGTCAATAGGGGTCCAGCAGGACAGCATGATCATAGCTCACCGCACTATGGGCTCAAGCAGTCATCCCGCCTCAGCCTCCTACGTAGCTGGGACTATAGACTCATACCACCATGCCCAGCTAATTTTTTTTATTTTTTATTTTTATTTTTGCAGAGACAGGGTCTCACTATGTTGCTTAGGCTGGTTTCTAACTCCTGGGCTCAAATGAGCCTCCTGCATCAGCCTTCCAAAGTACTGGGATTGGCCGGGCACGGTGGCTCATGCCTGTAATCCCAGCACTTTGGGAGGCCGAGGCAGGCGGATCACGAGGTCAGGAGATGCAGACCATCCTGGCTAACACGGTGAAACCCCGTCTCTACTAAAAATACAAAAAAATTAGCCGGGCGAGATGGCGGGCGCCTGTAGTCCCAGCTACTCGGGAGGCTGAGGCAAGAGAATGGCGTGAACTCCAGAGGGCGGAGCCTGCAGTGAGCTGAGATCTCATCACTGCACTCCAGCCTGGGCGACAGCGAGACTCCGTCTCAAAAAAAAAAAAAAAAAAAGCAAAGTACTGGGATTACAGGCAAGAACCACCATGCCCGGCCACATGAATTTTTTCATTTTCATGATACCATTCCCAAAGTTAAGAACATGTGTCTTAGGCCATGTGCAGTGGTTCACACCTGTAATCCCAGCACTTTGAGAGGCCGAAGAGGGCAGATCACCTGAGGTCAGGAGTTCGAGACCAGCCTGGCCAACATGGTGAAACCCTGTCTCTACAAAAAAATTAGCCAGGTGTCATGGCACATGCTTGTAATTCCAGCTGCTTGGGAGGCTGAGGCAGGAGAATCGCTTGAACCCAGGAGGCAGAGGTTGCGGTCAGCCGAGATCGTGCCATTGCACTCCAGCCTGGGCAACAAAAGTGAAACTCCGTCTCAAAAAACAAAAAAAAAGAAAGGAAAAAGAATATATGAATATATGTCTCAGGCCAGATGCAGTGGATCATACCTGTAATCTCAGCACTTTGGGAGGCTGAGGCAGGCGGATCACTTGAGGTCAGGAGTTTGAGACCAGCCTGGCCAACATGGTGAAACCCCATCTGTACTAAAAATACAAAAAGTTATGTCTCATTTGTGTTCAGCTACTTCTTTCTGCTATTACAAAACCTTCCAAAGATAAATTCACACTGGTATCAGAGCAATGTAGTCTTGAGCAAGACAACTGTTTTCCGTATAGATGGTATTAAAAACTTCCCAATATTTTACCGTGAAGTACTTCTTAATTAATTTTAAAGTAATAAATTTTCTTT
Source organism: Homo sapiens (assembly GCF_000001405.40). Classification (NCBI taxonomy): domain Eukaryota; kingdom Metazoa; phylum Chordata; class Mammalia; order Primates; family Hominidae; genus Homo; species Homo sapiens. The sequence goes on from NC_000002.12 coordinate 32,323,369, forward strand.
GGCCTTATCTAAAAATCCATGATCCTGTTTATGTTCCACTTAAAATAATACACTAATTCCCTTGCTTTTCATTAGTAGGTTGAAATTTGAATAAGCAGCAGGAGGTGGAGCCTCAGCTTAGCCTGAGGTGAACAATGAGCACATACAGTGGTTTGCAGGGCAAACCCACTAGAAGCCTATTTCCTGAAAATAGACTGAAAATCCTTGTAGGACTAAACTCATCCTTAGGGAATAGAGCCAGGTACAGCAAGTCTGGTGCAGTTGCAAACCTTTAGTCTTCCAAAGGGAAAATCAATTCTATGTGAAGTCTGTTACTTGGATTTTATATCCAGGCCAGCAGTACACCCTCAGCCCCTTCTTCTCTCCAGGTAGACCACGGTACAAGACATTAAGCTAAAGAACTCAATAGGATTCTTAGGTCATGTAGGATAAACTTCCTTCTCAACCCTTTTATCTTCAAATATTAATGCTAAGAGGGGAGCCTGGAGCTAGACTGCCCATCTTCCAATCTCAGCCTTACCACTTAACCAGGAGACCTTTGCCAAGTTATTTGCCGGGCAGCATTGTAAGCTCTTTTACGTATATTTAAAATTTTTTAATGTTTATTTTAGCTTAATTTCAGTCAGAAATTAACTTCTTCTGAGTCTCAAAACTGAGAACATGAGAGCAATAAAAGTATTTACTTGAGGCCAGATGCTGTGGCTCACACCCATAATCCCAGCACTTTGGGAGGCCAAGGCAGGTGGATCACGAAGTTAGGAGTTCAAGATCAGCCCGGCCAACATAGTGAAACCTCTTCTCTACTAAAAATACAAAAATTACACTTTGGGAGGCTGAGGCGGGTGGATCATCTAAGGTTAGGAGTTCGAGACCAGCCTGGCTAACATGGTGAAACACTGTCTTTACTAAAAATACAAAAAATTAGCTGGGCGTGGTGGCACACACCTGTAATCCCAGCAACTCGGGAGGCTGAGGCAGGAGAATCACTTGAACCTGGGAGGCAGAGGTTGCAGTGAGCCGAGATCACGCCATTGCACTCCAGCCTGGGCAACAAGAGCAAAACTCCGTCTCAAATAAATAAATAAATACAAAATACAAAAATTAGCCAGGCATGGTGGTGCATGCCTGTAGTCCCAGCTACTCAGGAGGCTGAGGCAGGAGAATGGCTTGAACCCGGGAGGCAGAGGGTGTGGTGAGCTGAGATCATGCCATTGCACTCCAGCTTGGGCAACAGAGCAAGACCCCGTCTCATAAAAAAAAAAAAGTAATTACTTCATAGGGTTGTAGTGAAGACTAAATGTTAATGAATGTGTACGCATGCATGTGTGTCTGCACCTATGTATATAGGTGTAAAAATGTACAAATACATTTATTTCTCAGTTCTGTCCCCTCATAGGGCCCAGTAGCAATGAGAACACGTAACATCCAGATCTTGGCTTCTAAATCCCTTCTCCCTTAAAAATAACCATGATTTGGACTGGCTCTAGCTCAGTATTCCTTTGACAAAAAACCGAGACTCCTTGAATACATGCTTAGTTCTAAGACTGGAGCAGAAAAAATACAAGATGAGCCTGGAACATCGCTTTGTGCCATGGCATAGGTCACAGAAGCCTATTTGAAGAGCCCCTTATTGGCCAAATCTGGGACCATTTGAACATCAGAATAAAAAATGAAGTCAAATAAATATATCCTATTGAGTAAAGAACAAGACCACAGTGAGGTGGATGGATGGATATACAGATAGATAGAGCACATGAGAGTGAGCGACAGGAGATGTGGGAGGGGGTAGCAAATGTAGTAAAATGGTAACAATTGGTGAATCTGGGTGAAAAGTATCCAAGAGCTCTTTGTACTATTCTTGCAACTTTTCTGTCTGAAATTAAGCCAAAATAAAACATTTGAAATTTTTAAATATATGTAAAAGAGCTTACAATGCTGCCTGGCACATAATAAGGAGTATATGTGTGTTTGCTGTTACTATACGGGTAACTTCCAACAAGTGGTAGGTTGGAAGCCTAGGTTAGGTGAGGGTAAAGAAATTAAGGTATGTGACATTTTCCTTAGATTTATCACAAGTCTCAGGACTTGTAATAGTTTAGTGTCTAATGTAGGCTGGATCTTTTTATTTTGAAAGAATCTAAAAGCATATGACCTTAAAGTGGAAAGTGAAAAATAGCTTTTTATTTGAAAAGAATGGAAAGATTTTGTGGGTAGATACAAGCATACCATCTGGTTAACTCAACAGAAATCCTAAGAGCTTAGAATTCTTTTTATTTTTCTTTTTTTTTTTTTTTTTTTTTTGAGACAGAGTCTCACTCTTGTCTCCCATACTGGAGTGCAATGGCGTGATCTCGGCTCACTGCAACCTCCACCTCCCGAGTTCAAGCAATTGTCGTGCCTCAGCCTCCTGAGTAGCTGGGATTATAGCTGTGCACCACCATGCCCGGCTAATTTTTGTATTTTTAGTAAAGACACGGTTTCACCATGTTGGCTAGGCTGGTCTCGAACTCCTGACCTCAAGTGATCCGCCTGCCTTCGCCTCCCAAAGTGCTAGGATTACAAGCGTGAGCCACCACACCTGGCCAAGAGCTTAGATATCATATTTTTATCAGCCACGTATGATTTAAGATAAACCACCATAACCTAAAAATACACAATTGTATTTATTCTGCAATTCATAAGTTATTTGGAAATGCCACTCAACTTAAAATCCCAATTATCTTATCTGAGAATCAGACTCCATTGTGGTTTATATTTCTCAAGTTCAAATGTTCAATGACATATAAGACAAATTCATCACATAAGAAATAGGCAAGGTTGGCATAGCAGTAGTATCTCTAAAATTAAATACACTTTAGTTCTTTAAAAATGTGATCACAATGATTCTCAACCAGGGACAGTTTTTACCCTTGGGATTTTTTTTTTTTTTTTTTTTTTGAGACGGAGTCTCGCTCTCTTGCCCAGGCTAGAGTGCAGTGACGCGATCACGGCTCATTGCAAGCTCCGCCTCCTGGGTTCATGCCATTCTCCTGCCCCAGCCTCCTGAGTAGCTGGGACTACAGGTGCCCGCCACCACGCCCGGCTAATTTTTTTTTGTATTTTTAGTAGAGACGGGGATTCACCGTGTTAGCCAGGATGATCTCGATCTCTTGACCTCGAGATCCGCCCACCTCGGCCTCCCAAAGTGCTGGGATTACAAGTGTGAGCCACCGCGCCCAGCCTACCCTTGGGATATTTCAAAATGTCTGGAGACATTGCCACAACTGGGGAGGGAGGGTAAGGGGGGAGCAGAGGTTACTGGCATCTAGTGGTAGAAACCAGGAATGCTACTAAATATCCTACAATGCTCAGGACAGCTCCCTACATCAAAGAACACTAAATGAACATATCTTCTAAAATTTCAAGCAGTGAAAGTACTACTAGGGATGGAATAATGCTTTTAGGCCTGTCTTTATACACAGTATTACCATCTAGCCTAGTGCCTGGTACATAATATCTATTTAATTTTTACTAATTTAATTAATGAATGAAGAATTGATGCTACTCTTAGGCTGGGCACGGTGGCTCACGCCTGTAATCCCAGCACTTTGGGAGGCCAAGGCAGGAGGATCACTTGAGGCCAGCAGTTTGAGACCAGCCTTGCCAACATGGCGAAACCTTGTCTCTACTAAAAAATACAAAAATTAGTTGGGCATGGTGGCACAAGACTGTATCCCAGCTACTCAGGAGGCTGAGGCAGGATAATCGCTTGAACCCGGGAGGTAGAGATTGCAGTGAGCCGAGATTGCGCCACTGCACTTCAGCCTGGGCAACAAAGCAAGATGCTGTCTCAAAAAAAAAAAAAGAATTAATGCTACTCTTATTTTATGAGTATTTTTATGTTTTTCCCTTCATTTATATGTACCCTAAAACTGTACCAGAATCTCCTACCTGCTACCTTTGTCTCAAAATATGGCAAGGGAAGAACCTAGAGATAGATTTTTGTATAAGAAAATACAGGCCAGAGTAGCTGGGATTACAGGCATGCACCACCACACCTGGCCTATTATATCTATTTTCTTTTTTGAGACAGAGTTTCGCTCTTGTTGCCCAGGCTGGAGTGCAATGGCGTGATCTCGGCTCACTGCAACCTCCACCCCCCGGGTTCAAGTGATTCTCCTGCCTCAGCCTCCCAAGTAGCTGGGATTACAGGTGTGCGCCACCACACCCAGGTACTTTTTGTATTTTTAGTAGAAACAGGGTTTCATCATATTGGTCAGGCTGGTCTCGAACTCCTGACCTCAGGTGATCCACCCCCCCTCGGCCTTCCAAAATGCTGGATTACAGGCATGAGCCACCGCGTCCGGCCTCTATTTTCCTTTCCTTTCTTTTTTTTTTTTTTTTTTTGAGATGGAGTCTGCTCTGTCACCCAGGCTGGAGTGCAGTGGTGCCATCTTGGCTCACTGCAACCTTGCCTCCTGGGTTCAAGCAATTCCATGCCTCAGCTTCCCAGAGTAGCTGGGATTACAGGTATGCACCACTACACCCGGCCTCTTATATCTATTTTCTTTTTTTTTGAGACTGAGTCTCACTCTGTTGGCCAGGCTGGAGTGCAGTGGTGCAGTCTTGGCTCACTGCAACCTCCACCTCCCTGGCTCAAGTGACCCTCCTGCCTCATCCTCCCAAGTAGCTGGGATTACAGGCATAAGCCACCATGCCCGACCTATTATATCTATTTTCAGTTAACTTGTCCTAATTTTTATTAGCTGTTTTAATCACACATAGTAAAAAATTAGCCAGTCTAGAAAGACATAATGAAATGCCACAGACCCCTCTTCATTCCTTCCGTACTCCTCACCCTAGTGCTGCTTGGGGGCAAGTCATTTTATTTTTATTTGCAGGTAGTCACTTTATAACTCTGAGTAATATTTCTATGTTAATTTGTTTTGTTTTGTTTTGTTTTGTTTTGGAGACAAGGTCTCTAACTCTTCACTCTGTTGCAGTAGTGTGATCATGGCTCACTGAAGCCTCGAACTCCTGGGCTCAAGAGAGCCTCCCACCTCAGCCTTCCCCGTAGCCAGAACTATAGATGCGTGCCATCACATCTGGCTAATTACAATTTTTTTTTTTTGTAAAAATGGAATCTTACTATGTTACCCAGTCTGGTTTCAAACTCCTGGCCTCGAGTCATCCTCCTGGCTCAGCCTCCCAAAGCACTGGGATTATAACTGTGAGCCACCACACCCAGCCTCCTATGTTAATATTTCTCCATGCATCAATTTTAGTCCTGTATTTACTCCTACCATTGGATGGTAAGGATTTAACTACCTAGGCCACTCTCTGTCCTCCCCAGTTTATTTTATTATTTATTTATTTATTTATTTATTTTGAGATGGAGTCTGGCACTGTCACCTGGGCTGGAGTGCAATGGTGAAATCTCAGCTCACTGCAACCTCCACCTCCCAGGTTCAAGTGATTCTCCCACCTCACCCTCCCAAGTAGCTGGGATTGCAGGTGCCCACCACCACACCCAGCTAATTTTTTGTATGTTTAGTAGAGATGGGGTTTCACTATGTTTGCCAGGCTGGTCTCAAACTCCTGACCTTGTGATCCACCCACCTCTGTCTCCCAAAGTGCTGGGATTACAGGCATAAGCCACCATGCCCGGCCTCCCCATTTTTAATAGTTATATTATCCTTAGGTATAATACTGAAAATTTTTATGACTTAAAATAAGATACTTAAACTCCTGCTTCTTGCTCATCAACTTTACAGCAGCTCTTGTCTACCCAGTATATAAGATAAAGCCATTATCACTCCCTCCTTTCATTCTCTCCTCTTCTTCTTCCACCCAACCTCTGTCAGCTTCACTTTTGCTTTCTGTCTTTTCGTTTTATAACTTCAAGGTTAATGACAGCTACACCCTGTTCTGTAACTGTAAATAAATAGTCAGTGTTTTGTCTATAACTGATTCTAAACTTTGAACAGCAGTAAGCAGCATTTGCTTTACTATCACTATGTAAATATTACTCAAGGCAGACACGGGAGGCACACCAGGACATTTCCTCCTTCAGGGTCCACTTTTTGACACTGCTGTCACCTAAAAGAGAATATATCTTTCCTTAAATCCTATCAATGTTAATAAAAAATGAATCCAGGAGGCCGGGCACGGTAGCTCACACCCGTAATCCCAGCACTTTGGGAGGCCGAGGTGGGCGGATCACCTGAGGTCAGGAGTCCGAGACCAGCCTGACCAACATGGAGAAACCCCATATCTACTAAAAATACAAAATTAGCTGGGCTTGGGTGGTCCATGCCTGTAATCCCAGCTACTCAGGAGGCTGAGGCAGGAGAATCGCTTGAACCTGGGACGCGGAGATTGCAGTGAGCTGAGATCATGCCATTGCACTCCAGCCTGGGCAACAAGAGTGAAACTCCATCTCAAAAAAAAAAAAAAAAAAGAAGAATCCAGGGTTGGGAGTGGTGGCTCACGCCTATAATCCCAGCACTTTGGGAGGCCAGGGCAGGCGGATCACCTGAAGTCAGGAGTTTGAGACCAGCCTGGCCAACATGGTGAAACCCTGTCTCTTCCAAAAATACAAAAATTAGCTGGGCGTGGTAGTGCACACCTGCAGTCCCAGCTACTCGGGAGGCTGAGGCAAGAGACTCACTTGAACCCAGAAGGCAGAGGGTGCAGTGAGCTGAGACTGTGCCATTGCACTCCAGCCTGGGCGAGAGTGAGACTTTGTCTCAAAACAAAACAAAACAAAAACGTGAAGCCAGATCTTAGTTTGCTTCATATCTGGACTGTGGCATTCTTGTGAATTTTTTGGCTTTTCCTATAAATGTTAATCGCCTTTTTTTCCCTGCTGAAAAGAAGAAATATGTGCCTCCTTTATCCATCTGCAACATGAAATCCATTCCATTCTCATTCTTGATTACATGCTCCTTGGAGTCCACTGACAATCTATGCACACAGATTGCTTTCCAGCTCTGCCACATCTTGACATTCCTCTTCACTGCATTCTTGGTTGGTTGCCGTGTTTCTTGAATCCCATGTCTTCATCCTTCCTGATTTTTGCCTGAACACATCAATATGTTTTTACAAGGATTTCTTGTTTTCTATTTTAGAACATGTCCTTGATTCTCTTTACTGAAAAAAAATTATGTGATGTCCACCCATGTGAATTTCTTCTACTTTAATGTTCTCCCCTTGTGAACTTATCTTCCAACTTCCTAGATTTCTTAGAAGAGAAGCACCAGTATTTTTCTTTAAAGGGTAGGCATAGCTGGGCACAGTGGCTCACTCCTGTGATCCTAGCACTTTCAGAGGCCAAGGCAGACGGATTAATTGAGGTCAGGAGTTCGAGACCAGCCTGGCCAACATGGTGAAACCCCATGTCTACTAAAAATACAAGAACTAGCCAAGCGTGGCAGCGCATGCCTGTAGTCCCAGCTACTCAGGAGGCTAGGGGCAGGAGAATCGCTTGAACTGGGAGACAGAAGTTGCAGTGAGCTGAGATTGCACCACTGCACTCCAGCCTGGGCAACAGAGTGACCCACCATGCCCGGCCCTTGGTAATGTTTTAACCATCTACATAGGAAGTTAGCCTCCAAGGTGTTAGGCAAAAATCCAATCTTTAGAAACTGAGGCACAGACAGGCATAGTGGCTCACACCTATAATCCCAGTACTTTGGGAAGCCAAGGCGGGCGGATCACGGGGTCCAGAGATCGAGACCATCCTGGCTAACATGGTGAAACCCCGTCGCTACTAAAAAAATATAAAAAATTAGCCAGGCGTTGTGGCGGGCGCCTGTGGTCCCAGCTACTCGGGAAGCTGAGGCAGGAGAATGGCGTGAACCCGGGAGGCGGGGCTTGAAGTGAGCCAAAATCTCTGCCACTGCACTCCAGCCTGGGCGACAGAGCGAGACCCAGTCTCAAAAAAGAAAAAAAAAAAGAAGATAAAATAGAGGGAAAAAAAGATTCAAGGAAAGAAAGAAATTGAGTCACTGGAATAGAAACTCAGTTCCTGAAGGAAGGTTAAACCAGATGCTGAGAAACTTAGAACAAAGGTCAAGTCAGGACAAACAGTAAAGCCAGAAGGCTCCTGAATTAGAGCTCTGCATACTTTATCAGCCTGGGGCCAAGGTTGGGATCAGAGCGAAGGGCAGGCCAGGGTCACTGGAGGGCGATTAGAATAACCTCAATTAGAACATGAGGCCTAGGTAGAATGTTTCACTATATATATATAATTTTTCTCTGAAATCCTACTGACTGTACCAGTCAGAGTTTGGTGCAAGAAACAGAAACCACTGGAAGTATTTTAAGCATGAAGGAATTTATTGCAGAGATGTATGCACTTAGAAAATCTTTGAAAGGGCCAAAGGAATAGATTCTAGGCAGGGCCTTTAGGAGTGAAACCTAGAACAGTACTGAACCTGGCCGGGCGCGGTGGCTCACGCCTGTAATCCCAGCACTTTGGGAGGCTGAGGCGGGTGGATCACCTTAGGTCAGGAGTTTGAGACCAGCCTGGCCAAGATGGTGAAACCCCGTCTTAACTAAAAATACAAAAAATTAGCTGGGCATGGTGGCAGGCACCTGTAATCCCAGCTGCTCGGGAGGCTGAGGCAGAGAATTGCTTGAACCCAGCAGGTGGAGGTTGCAGTGAGCCGAGATAGCGCCACTGCACTCCAGCCTGGGCGACAGAGCGAGACTCCATCTCAAAAAAAATAAAAAAAATAAAAATAAAAAAAGAACAATACTGAACTGACTCACCACGGGAGCTGCCTCTGAGGCCACTACTTTGAGTGAGTTCAAGACCACAATATCTTAGATGCATTCCAGGGTTCAGTCTTGTTGCCACAGCAAATGCACCCCAACCCTCAGGAAGCTGGAAAAGGAACATTGAAGGAGGTCCTATAAAAAACAAAACCTCACATTTCCACGACCTCACCTGCAGCAGAAAAATAAGCAAAGGAACAGGAAAATAGTTTCCACCTCACTTATGCCTTCCAAATCTCAACCAAATATGTCTAATTGGTGGAAGCAATTCACATCCCAAACTGTACCTGCAAAGGAGCCAGAACTGTGGATTTTAGTCTTCTACTTCTGCAGTACAGGAAGCTATCCTGTAGGAGGGTAGAATGCAGGTTGAGGGAGCCAATTAATACTATCCACTAACATAACATACAAATTTAAAGTGCAAAAAGATACACTGAGTAGGAACAGGAAAGACCACTGAAGGTATAGGCTAGAGGCCAGATGCTGTGCAAGGCTGTTGAATTCAAAATCAAACATTTTTCTATGACATTTAGAATCATTGTGGTCTTGAGTTGCTTTTAACAGTCAGTACCAGACTGCGCCCCGGTGGCTCATGCCTGTAATCCCAGCACTTTGGGAGGCCAAGGCAGGCAGATCACTTGAGGTCACAAATTTGAGACCAGCCTGGCCAAGATGGCGAAACCCCATCTCTACTAAAAATACAAAAATTAGCCGGGCGTAGTGGCACACACCTGTAGTCCCAACTACTCAGGAGACTGAGGCAGGAGAATCGCTTGAACCTGGGAGGCGGAGGTTGCAGTGAGCCGAGATTGTGCCACTGCACTCCAGCCTGGGTGACAGAGACTCCATCTCAAAAAAAAAAAAAAAAAAAGAATGAAGAACTTCGTACACTGATAAGGAAAGATGTAGAAACATTGAGCAAAAGAAGCAACGTGCAGGTAACTATGTATGGTATACTTGCAATTGTGTAAAAATAAATAGAAGAGGCTGGGCGTGGTGGCTCACGCCTGTAATCCCAACACTTTGGGAGGCCGAGGTGGGTGGATCACTTGAGGTCAGGAGTTCGAGACCAGCCTGACCAACATGGAGAAACCCCATCTCTACTAAAAATACAAAATTAGCTGTGCATGGTGGTTCCACGCCTGTAATCCCAGCTACTCAGGAGGCTGAGGCAGGAGAATCGCTTGAACCCGGGACACGGAGGTTACGATAAGCCGAGATGGTGCCATTGCACTCCAGCCTGGGCAACAGAGCTGTACACACACACACACACACACACACACACACACACACACACACACAGTAGTTGGGCTCTCTCTTTGCCTCTCAGTTCATTCTAGAGGAACTCAGCCAACCAAAGGGAGGGTTTAAGGTGTGTGTGTGTGTGTGTGTGAATTTTTTATTTTGAAATAATTTTAGACTTACTCTAAAGTTGCAAAAATAATACAAAGAGTTCTTGAATACATATCACCCAGTTTCCCTGGTATTAGCATATTACATAACTACAGTACATATATCAAAATCAGGAAATTAACATCTGTACAGTACTATTAACTAAGTAATGTTCTTTTCAGTATGTCATATCAGGGAGTATATGATGTCAATATGTAAAGTTTACTAACTAGAGTACAGAACTTGGTACAGTCCTTTTCTTCTTTATCCTTACAGCACACAGTCAAAATACTGTTTTGCAAAGTTACTTAGGTTAGTTGTTTTCTTCCTCATTCCCTTCAGTGTGGTTATATTATTTTTATTTATTTATTTATTTATTTATTTATTTGAGACAGGGCTCACTCTGTTGCCCAAGCTAGAGTACAGTGGCATGATCATGACTCACTACAGCCTCAGTCTCCTGAATAGTTAGGATCACAAGTACATGCTACCATGCCAAGCTAATTGAAAAAAATTTTTGGGGCCAGGCGCAGTGACTCACACCTGTAATCCCAGCATTTTGGGAAGCCAAGGCGGGCGGATTATGAGGTCAGGAGTTTGAGACCAGCCTGGCCAACATGGTGAAACCCCGTCTCTACTAAAAATACAAAAATTAGCTAGGTGCGGTGGTGGGCGCCTGTAATCCCAGTTACTCAGGAGGCTGAAGCAGGAGAATCGCTTGAACCTGGGAGGCGGAGGTTGCAGCAAGCCGAGATCGCACCATTACACTCCAGCCTGGCGACAGAGCGACTCCCATTCGGGAAAAGAAAAAAAACTGTAGATGTGAAGTCTGACTGTGTGCCCCCACCGATCTTAGACTCTTGGGCTCAAGCAATCCACCTGCCTCAACTTCCCAGAGTGCTGGGTTTACAGGCATGAGCCACTGCACCTGGCCTATGTTACAGTTAGGTTCACTTGTTATCATTTATATTCCATTTTAGGTTTATTTCATACCCTCATTGAAATTTTTAAATTTGTTTATTAAAGTTTATTTTATTTTATTATTTTGTTTTATTTTATTTTATTTATTTCATTTTAATGAGAGATGGCGTCTTGCTATGTTGCCTAGGCTGGTTTCAAACTCCTGGCCTCCAGTGATACTCTCGCTTCAGCTTCCCAAAGTGCTGGGATGACAGGCCCGAGCCACCATGACCCGCCAAGTTGTGTTTTTAGAGAAAATATATTCTCTTTAGAATAAGGATTCTAGGCTGGGCGCGGTGGCTCACGCCTGTAATCCCAGAACTTTGGGAGGCCGAGGCGGGCGGATCATGAGGTCAGGAGATCGAGACCATCCTGGCTAACACAGTGAAACCCCATCTCTACTAAAAAAACACAGAAAAATTACCCGGGTGCCGTGGCGGGTACCTATAGTCCCAGCTACTCGGGGGCGGGGCGGGGCGGGGCGGGGCGGGGCGGGGGGGTGGGGCTGAGGCAGGAGAATGGCGTGAACCCGGGAGGCGGAGCTTGCAGTTAGCCGAGATCGTGCCACTGTACTCCAACCCGGGCGACAGCGACTCTATCTCAAAAAATAATAATAATAAAAAAGAATAAAGATTCTATAGGCACTTCTTTTACAGCAGAGTTATAAGAACCTGAGTTCTTTTACCTTAGGCCCAAGGATGTAATTCATTCGTCCACACAAACTTTTTATTTATTTTTATTTTTTTATTTTTGAGACAAGGTCTCGCTCTGTCGCCAGGCTGAAGTGCGGTGGCGCCATCTTGGCTCACTATAACCTCCGCCTCCCGGGTTCAAGCGATTCTCCTGCCTCAGCCTCCCGAGTAGCTGGGACTACAGGCGCACGCCACCACGCCCAGTTAATTTTTGTGTTTTTAGTAGAGACAGGGTTTCACCATGTTGACCAGGATGGTCTTGATCTCCTAACCTCGTGATCCGCCCGCCTCGGTCTCCCAAATTGCTGGGATTATAGGCGTGAGCCACCGTGCCTGGCATAAAGTTTATTTTTTAAACAGTTGAGAATTCCTTGCCAACATTTAAAAAATTTGGAGATTTTACATTTAATAAATCCAACCGACAGCTTTGCTTAAAAGAATCAGATCGATTTATGCTGGACCTGCCTTCGCATATGGTAACAACTCCAACTCAGTAGATCTGTTGTATGACAAGGAAGTTCCCTTAGAGGCCTTCAGGGATTCTGCAACTGAGAGCTACTGCTCTGCTGTTAGAGGGGTACCGAGAAAAGACAGAACTAGAACCTGGGTCCTTAGACCTAAGCCTTCCTCTTACTACACCATGTTCCCTCTGAACATTAATACCAAATTAATAAAATTACACCTCTGAGGGGGAGTTCAGTGTAGTGGCTACAAGTCACACTATGAAGTCAGATAGGAGTTCAAAGTTCAAATCAGACACTTACTAATGTCTGATTTTCCTTGTTCTTTTAACCCCTTGTTTAAATTCCTTAACCCCTTAGGATTTCAGGGGCATCAAGCATAAAACAGGAAGTACCTTAGGGTTATTGTAAAGGATGTCTGAGACAATGTTCCTCCTTTAGTCTTCTCAAACTCTGTGCTATGGCAGGGTGCAGCGGCTCACGCCTGCACTTTGGGAGGCCAAAGTGGGCAGATCACCTGAGGTCAGGAGTTCAAGACCAGCCTGGCCAATGATGAAACCCCGTCTCTATTATTTAAAAAATAAATAGGCTGGGTGTGGTGGCTCACACCTGTAATCCCAGCACTTTGGGAGACTGAGGTGGGCGGATCACCTGAGGTCAGGAGTTCAAGACCAGCCTGTCCAACATGGCGAAACCCCATCTCTACTAAAAATACAAAAATTAGCCGGGCTCGGTGGTGGGCGCCTGTAATCTCAGCTATGTGGGAGGCTGAGGCAGGAGAATCGCTTGAACCCGGGAGGCGGAGGTTGCAATAAGCCGAGATTGCACCATTGCACTCCAGCCTGGTCAACAGAGTGAGACCCTGTCTCAAAAATAAAATAAAAATAAAAAGTATGCCAGGCGTGGTGGCTCACACCTGTAATCCCAGCACTTTGGGAGGCCGAGATGGGTGGATCATGAGGTCAGGAGATCGAGACCATCCTGGCTAACACAGTGAAACCCTGTCTCTACTAAAAATACAAAAAATTAGCCGGGTATGGTTGCAGGCACCTGTAGTCCCAGCTACTTGGGAGGCTGAGGCAGGAGAATGGCATGAACCCGGGAAGCGGAGCTTGCAGTGAGCTGAGATTGTGCCACTGCACTCCAGCCTGGGCGACACAGCAAGACTCTGTCTCAAAAAAATAAATAAATAAAAATAAAAAATAAAAACAAAAATAAAAATAAAAAGTAGGCTGGGCCTGGGTGGCTCACGCCTGTAATGTTAGTACTTTAGGAGGCCGAGGCGGGCAGATTGCCTGAGTTCAGGAGTTCGAGACCAGCCTGGGTAACACAGTGAAACCCTGTCTCTACTAAAATACAAAAAAATTAGCTGGGCGTGGCAGCGTGTGCCTGTAGTCCCAGCTACTCGGGAGGCTGAGGCAGGAGAATTTCTTGAACCCAGAAAGCGTAGGTTGCAGTGAGCCGAGATCATGCCACTGCACTCCAGCCTGGGCGACAGAGTAAGACTCCATCTCCAAAACAATAAATAAATAAACAATAAAATAAAAATAAAATATCACATTAAAATATAATTTACCTGGATTATGGGATATTTTTACAGCCCTTTAAAGTTTGCATCTGAGGTGAGTACCTTACTCGTCCCTCCCTAGTCCTGGCCCTACTTGCTGCCTTTAAATTTATTATTAGCCCAGCAGCCAGAGCAAGCTCTTTGAAGGCAAATCGGATGATGTCACTCTATTATTAAGTGGCTTTCCTTTGCACTTAATATAAAGTTGAAAATCCCTAGTGGCCCACACCTCTCAGTTCCCACATGAGCTGGCTCCTGCCCTCCTCCTGAACCTCATCTTGTGCCATTCTTCCCATTGCCTACTGAACTCCAGCTACACCAGCTGGAATAAGCCAAACAAATGCCCAGGACTTTCATAGAGAATATTCCCTGCCTAGGATATTCTCTTTTCCAAGATATCCCGAAATGCTTTCCTCTTCAACTGGTATTTCCTTTTTTTTTTTTTTTTTGAAACAGAGTCTTGCTCTGTTGCCCAGGCTGGAGTGGCATAATCCTGGCTTGCCGCAATGTCCAACTCCCGGGTTCAAGCCATTCTCCTGCCTCAGCCTCCCAAGTAGCTGGGATTACAGGCACCTGCCACCACACTCGGCTAATTTTTAATATTTTTGGTAGAGATGGGGTTTCACCATGTTGGCCGGGCTGGTCTCGAACTCCTGACCTCAAATGATCTGCCGGCCTTGGCCTCCCAAAGTGCTGGGATTACAGGCATGAGCCACCGCACCCGGCCTCAACTGGTATTTTCTTTTCAAGTTTTAGATGTTGGCTCGACTTCCACTTGTGTTGAAAAGCCTGGCGTGACTCTGTTCTAAGGCAGTGTCCCTGTAACTTTTTCACGGCACTATAAGTTTTTCCTCATACAGTTGTCACATTTGCAATCACATGTTTATTTTTCTGATGATTTGATTAACAACTGTCTGCTCACTTGATTGTAAACCTCAGGAGAGCTTATTTCTTTGTTTTATTTTTCTTGTCACCTTTGCTCTATTCCCAGTGTCTACTATATAGTAGGTGCTTAATAAATACATAACTGGCTAGGGGTAGTGACTCACGCCTGACATCCTAGCACTTTGGGAGGCCGAGGCAGGAGGATCACTTGTAGCCAGGAGTTCGAGACCAGTCTGGGCAGCAAAGCAAGACCCTGTCTCTACAAAAAAAAAAAATAAATAAAATAAAGTAAAGTAAGTACATAACACAGGGACTGGGTCATAAAAAATTCTCTATAAATGTTTGCAAAAATGTGATTAGAAATGTAAATGAGGTAGCATATGAAAGCAAGGAGGAAAGCAAATGAACTTTCCAAGCATTTTATTGAACTTTCAGTTAGTTACCACTGTTTTTTGTTTGTTTAGTCCATTATTTTGTCTTTTAATCTCAGGCTGCAGTCTTGTGTTTACCCTTATCATAGCTATAGCTTCTGATTCTGATTAAGGTGTCTATTTTTACTCCAAAGTGGCCCGGTGATTTTTCTTCTGATTGCCTGAAAGCATCAAAGGTAAGTGAATCAGCTGGGCACAGTGGCTCATGCTTGTAATCCCAGCACGTTGGGAGACCAAGGCAGATGGATCACTTGAGGTAGGGAGTTCGAGATAAGCCTGGCCAACATGGTGAAACCCCATCTCTACTAAAAATACAAACATTAGCTGGGCATGGTGGCAGGTGCCTGTAGTTCCAGCTACTTCACAGGCTGAGGCAGGAGAATCGCTTGAACCTGGGAGGTGGAGGTAGGTTGCAGTGAGCAGAGATCATGCCACTGCACTTCAGTCTGGGTGACAGATCAAGACTACATCTCAAAAAAAAAAAAAGTAAGCCAATCATGTATCCAAGCCTTTCAACTATACACCATGTCGAAACTTTTCTCCATAAATAATGACTGCTCACACCAAAAAGGCAATAGAATTTTTCTTAGAATTCTTCCATGTGAAATTAAGAAAGTGTATATTCAACATACTTTACTTTCTATGAATGTGGTTTGGCCAGGCAGGAAGAACAAAGCCCATGAAAGAATGGTGGGGTCCCTTGCTTTTGCTTCCTATCTTCCAGCTCTTTGCTTCTCAAAGTATGGTCTGGGCATCAGCAACATCAGCCTCAGAGCTGGGAACCTGTCAAAGGCAAAATATGAGGATTCCACTCCCAGAATCTATATTTTTACAAGATCCTAGTGCTTGAAAAATTTAAGAGCACGTGTTCTTGTAAAAACAAGTACTCACTGCAGAATGGAAAAAGACTATAGTCCAGGCGTTTCCAAACCTGACTAGTATGAAAACTTCATAAGGTGCTTGTGTAAAAATAAAAATTCCTATGTTACCCCTCCCAGGAAACTGTAATTTTATAGGTCTAGGGTGGGGCTCAAAAATGACTCTGAAGCTTCCAACACCTAAAATGACATTTGAAAACTGTTGTGTGTGTGTGTGTGTGTGTGTGTGTGTGTGTGTGTGTGTGAACCCCCATCACTATTTTTTTAATTAAATTTAAAAAAACTAAATACACAAAATTAAGGGCCACTCTGACCCTGAACAGAAGGACACGCAATAAATTTGTAGTAAAATTTAAACATTACTGGCTGGGTGTGGTGGCTCACGCCTGTAATCCCAGAACGCTGGGAGGCCGAGGCGGGCGGATTACAAGGTCAGGAGATCAAGACCATCCTGGCTAACATGGTGAAACCCCATCTCTACTAAAAATATAAAAAATTAGCCAGGCGTGGTGGCGGGCGCCTGTAGTCCCGGCTACTTGGGAGGCTGAGGCAGGAGAATGGCATGAACCCGGGAGACGGAGGTTAGTAAGCCAAGATTGCACCACTGCACTCCAGCCTGGGCGATAGAGCAAGACTCCATCTCAAAAAAAAAAAAATTTAACATTACTTATTTTTTATCATCAAAAATTATAAAAACCTGACAAGAACAGAAAATGTATGTCATTGTAGGAGGCAAGAGGCGTTATTCAAAGCAGAAAGAAACTAGTTAAGTAATAAAGAAGTGACTCTAATCTCCTTGAATGTGGAGACCATGTTTTAGTTAACTTTGTATCCCAGCACTGTTGTGCCAGACACTTGGTATTCAAAAGTTGTTTGTTCACTGAAGGATAATGATTCACACTTACATAGTGTCTATGTGCCAGGTTAAACCACATAATTCCTTTAATCTTGCAGTAGCTTTAAGAGTTTTATATCATTGGTCTCTTTTACAGATGAGGAAACTGAGGCACAGAATGGTTCAGATTATAATGATGGTGTCAAGGCTAAAGTAACTCCATCTTGGATGCAAATCTGCCATGTTGACTTTTGATTAACCCCTAGTTCTGGAAACTGTTGATTTTGTCCAGTTTTACAATTTAGCCTAGGTGGCAACACAGTTCGGAAGTTTTAGCAGCTTCCTCATTGTCACTAGAAAGTGACAAAACTGTACTGAAAAGTAATTCTTTTGAGGGAGTAGGAGAGAGATTCTAAGTGTTTGATTTTATGTTTTCATTATGGTATATTTTAAATATTTCATGATTTTATTATTTCAAACACACAGAAAAGTTGAGAAACTTTTTGTAGTAAACATCTGTATACACACCTCTTAGATCCCATCGTTAACATTTTACTATATTTGCTTTATCATTATCTATCCATTTCTATCCATCCCTCTATCCATCATCAGTCTCTGTTTTTTAATGCATTTCAAAGTAAATTCTAGCACACATCAGTTCATTCTTTTTTTTTTTTTTTTTTTTGAGATGAAGTCTCGCTCTGTTGCCCAGGCTGGAGTGCAGTGGCGCTATCTCGGCTCACTGCAAGCTCCGCCTCCCGGGTTCACGCCATTCTCCTGCCTCAGCTTCCCGAATAGCTGGGACTACAGGCGCCTGTCACCACGCCAGGCTAATTTTTTTTTTTGTATTTTTAGTAGAGACTGGGTTTCACCGTGTTAGCCAGGATGCTCTCGATCTCCTGACCTTGTGATCCACCCGCCTTGGCCTCCCAAAGTGCTGGGATTACAGGCGTGAGCCACCGCGCCAGGCCACCCGGCCAATTTTTGTATTTTTAGTAGAGACGGGGTTTCACCATATTGGCCAGGCTGGTCTCAAACTCCTGACCTCATGATCCGCCTGCCGCAGCCTCCCAAAATGCTGGGATTACAGGCGTGAGCCACCGTGCCCAGCCCAGTACATCCTTCAAAATGCTGCATCATGCCTATGAGATAATTCTTTTTACTACTAATCTTTACACTATTTCATACACCTTCCATAAAAGGGGCAAGAAAACCATGAAGAGAACCAGAAATAAGAAAATATGGTCGGGTGCCATGACTCATGCCTGTAATCCCAGCACTTTTGGGAGGCCATGCAGAGGCAGGTGGATCACCTGAGGTCAGGAGCTTGAGACCAGCCTGGCCAACATGGTGAAACCTCATCTCTACTAAAAATACAAAAATTAGCAGGCATGGTGGCGCATGCCTGTAATCCCAGCTACTCAGGAGGCGGAGGTGGGAGATTGCTTGACCTTAGGAGGATGAGGTTGCGGTGAGCCGAGATCATGCCACTGGACTCCAGCCTGAGCAACAGAGAGAGACTATGGCATAACACATATATATATATATGGCTGGGTGTGGTGGTTCACGCCTGTAATCCCAGAACTTTGGGAGGCTGAGGCCAGTGGATCACTTGAGATAAGAGGTTCAAGACCGGCCTGGCCAACATGGTGAAACCTGCCCCCCTCTACTAAAAATACAAAAAGTAGGCTGGGTGCGGTGGCTCACACCTGTAATCCCAGCACTTTGGGAGGCTGAGGCGGGTGGATCACGAGGTCAAGAGATAGAGACCATCCAGGCCAACATGATGAAACCCATCTCTACTAAAAATACAAAAATTAGCTGGGTGTTGTGGCGCATGCCTGTATGTAGTCTCAGCTACTCAGGAGGCTGAGGCAGGAGAATTGCTTGAACCCGGAGGTGGAGGTTGCAGTGAGCCGAGATCGTGCCACTGCACTCCAGCCTGGTGACAGAGCGAGACTCTGTCTCACAAATAAATAAATAAATAAATAATAAAAATTAGCTTGGCGTGGTGGCAGGTGCCTATAATCCCAGGTATACTCAGGAGGCTAAGGCAGGAAAATTGCTTGAACCCAGGAGATGGAGGCTGCAGTGAGCTGAGATTGTGCCATTGCACTCCAGCCTGGGTGACAGAGTGAAACTCTCTCTCAAAAAAAATTAAAAATAAATAAATACATTAATTAATTAAATAAATGAGGCCGGGCGCGGTAGCTCACCCCTGTAATCCCAGCACTTTGGAAGGCCGAGGCGGGTGGATCACGAGGTCAGGAGATCGAGACTATCCTGGCTAACACAGTGAAACCCCGTCTCTACTAAAAATACAAAAAATTCTCCGGGTGTGGTGGCGGGCGCCTGTAGTCCCAGCTACTCCGGAGGCTGAGGCAGGAGAATGGCGTGAGCCCGGGAGGCAGAGCTTGCAGCGAGCCGAGATCGCAACACTGCACTCCAGCCTGAGTGACAGAGCGAGACTCCGTCTCAAAAAAAAAAAAAAAAAAAAAAAAGAGAGAGAAAATACGGTAAAAACATGTAAAAGAAGGAACACTGGCGTATTTAAAGATGATTAACTTCAATTTCTGAAGTACAAAAAACCTTACACAAATCTAGTAAATTTATGCAAATTACTACAGAGGATAATTTTTAAAAACAGTACCTTTTAGATCTATCTTAAATTCATGAAGTCTGATTTTTGGCACTAGAGGTAATTTTGGAACTAACATGTTATTGTTCCCCTGGCAGCATTTCCTTTCTATAAATCATCATATTCACATCCCACACGTACATATCCTGTGACAGCCCTAGCTCTGGCCTCTTTCCAGGACACCAGGATACCACTAATGTGAAACAAAACCGTATCTGGAAAAATTTGGAGAACTCTATTCCCCAGTAATGAGAAACAAATATGGACTGTGCACCTGTTTTCTCCTGTGGGTGAATATTTTAAAATATTTTTTTAAAATATTGAGGTAAGGGCTGGGAGTGGTGGCTCCTGTCTGTAATCCCAACACTTTGGGAAGCCGAGGCAGGAGGATCACGGGGTCAGGAGATGGAGACCATCCTGGCTAACACGATGAAATTCCATCTCTACTAAAAAATACAAAAAATTAGCGGGGCGTGGTGGCATGCGCCTGTAGTCCCAGCTACTCAGGAGGCTGAGGCAGGGGAATCTCTTGAACCGGGGAGGCAGAGGTTGCAGTGAGCCGAGATCACGCCACTGCACTCCAGCCTGGTAACAGAGCAAGACTCCATCTTAAAAAAAAAAAAAAAAAAAAAAGAGGCCGGGTGTGGTGGCTCATGCTTGTAATCCCAGCACTTTGGGAGGCCGAGGTGGGCGGATCATGAGGTCAGGACTTCGAGACCAGCCTGGCCAACACAGTGAAACCCTGTCTCTACTAAAAATACAAACATTAGCTGGGCGTGGTGGTGGGCACCTGTAATCCCAGCTACTCGGGAGGCTGAGGCAGGATAATTGCTTGAACCCGGGAAGTGGAGGTTGCAGTGAGCCGAGATTGTGCCACTGCACTCCAGCCTGGGTGACAGAGCTGGACTCCATCTCAAAAAATAAATAAATAAATAAAAAGGGCTGGGCGCAGTGGCTCACGCCTATAATCCCAGCACTTTGGGAGGCCGAGGTGGGCGGATCACGAGGTCAGGAGATCGAGACCATCCTGGCTAACACGGTGAAACCGCGTCTTTACTAAAAATACAAAAAATTAGCCGGGTGTCATGGTAGGCGCCTGTAGTGCCAGCTACTGAGGAGGCTGAGGCAGGAGAATGGCGTGAACCTGGGAGGCGGAGCTTGCAGTGAGCCGAGATCGGCGCCACTGCACTCCAGCCTGGGCGACAGAGTGAGACTCCGTCTCAAAAAGAAAAAAACACCCACAAAACTGGGGTAAAAAACACAGAACATAAAATTTATTATTTTAACCTTTAAAAAACTTAACAGACTGGCCAGGCGCGACGGTTCACGCCTGTAATTCCAGCACTTTAGGAGGCTGAGGCAGGGGGATCGCTTGAGCCCAAGAATTCAAGACCAGCCTGGGCAACATTTTGAGACCCCATGTCTACAAAAACCCAAAAAATTAGCTGGGTGTGGTGGCATGCACCTGTGGTCTCAGCTACTCAGGAGGTGGGAGGATCGTTTGAGCCCAGGAGGCGGAGGTTGCAGTGAGCCAAGATTGCGCCTCTGCACTATAGCCTGGGTGACAGAGTGAGACCCTGTCTCAAAAAAAAATAAAATAAAATAAAATAAATAATAGACTTCCATTTTAAAAACAGTTTTAGATTTACAGAAAATCAGATAGTAGAATTTCCATATCCCCCTTCCTCTGCACTGCTTCTCCTATTATTAACATTTTGCATGAGTGTGGTATATTTTTTATAATAAATGAACCAAGACTGATACAAATAACTAACTAAAGTCTGATAGTTTACATGAAGATTCCCTCTTGTGTTGTACAATTCTACTGGTTTCCACAAATGTATAAATGTTATATATTCACCATTACAGTTTCACACAGAATAGTTCCAGCCTGAAAAATACTGTGTTCCACCCCTCTCCACTAACCCCAAACAGTTGGCAACCACTGATCTTTTTACAGTCTCCATAGTTTTGTCTTTTCTAAAATGCCATATAGTTGGAATCATACAGTATATAGCCTCTACAGATTAGCTTCTTTCATTAGGCAATATACGTTTAGGGTTCCTCCATGTCTTTTGTAGTTTGATAGCCCATTTCTTTTCTTTTCTTTTCCTTTTCTTTTTATTTTTTGAGAAAGAATCTCGCTCTGTCACCCAGGCTGGAGTACAGTGGCGGGACCTTGGCTCACTGCAACCTCTGCCTCCTGGGTTCAAGCAATTCTCCTGCCTCAACCTCCCAAGTAGCTGGGATTACAGGCGCCCGCCACCATGCGTGGCTAATTTTTTGTATTTTTAGTAAAGATGGGGTTTCACCATGTTGGCCAGGCTGGTCTCGAACTCCTGACCTCAGGTGACCTGCCTGCCTCGGCTTCCCAAAGTGCTAGGGATTTTATTTTTGAGGCAGGGCCTCACTCTTTCACCCTGTCTGGAGTGCAGTGGCATAATCATGGCTCACTCTAGCCTTGACCTCCCGGGCTCAGTGATCCTCCCTCCTCAGCCTCCCAAGTAGCTGGGACTACAGGCATGTGTCCCCCTACCTGGCTAATTTTTGTATTCTTTTTGCAGAGATGGGGTTTCACCATATTGCTCAGGCTGGTCTCGAACTCCTAGGCTCAGGCCATCTGCCTGCCTTGACCTCCCAAAGTGCTAGGATTACAGGCGTGAGCCACCGTGCCTGGCCCCCATTTATTTTTTATCACTGAACACTTCCATTGAATGTACCACAGTTTGTTTATCCATTCATCTATTAAAGGGCATCTTAGTTGCTTCCAGTTTTGGGCAATTATGAATAAGCTGCTATAAATATTCATGTGCAGGTTCTGTGTGGACATAAGTTTTCAACTCAGTTGAGAAAATACCTAGGAGTGTGATTGCTGAATCATTTTGTAAGACTATGTTTAGCTTTGTAAAATACTGCCAAACTGTTTTCCGAAGTAATCTTACCATTTTGCATTCTTACCAGCAATGTATGAGAGTTCATTGCTGTTGTTGCTCCACATCCTTTCGAGTGTTTGGAATTGTCAGGTTTTTGGACTGTAGCCATTTTAAGTGGTGTGTAGAGGTACCATCTTAATCATTTTTAAGTGCACAGTTCAGTGGCATTAAGTACATTCACATTGTTTTCCTATCGTCGCCATCATCTATCCACAGAACTCTTTTCATTTTGCAAAACCAAAACTCTTATACCTATTAAACAATAATTCCCCATTTTCCCCCACCCTAACCACATTCTACATTGTGTCTTGGTTAATTTGAGTACTCTAGGGACCTCATATAAGTTGAATCATACAGAATTTGTTCTTTTGTGTCTGCCTTACTTCATTTAGCCTAATATCCTCATGGTGTATCCATGTTGTAGCATGTGTGAGAATTTCCTTCCTTTCTAAGGTTAATAATATTCTATCCCATGAATATTCCACATTTGGTTCCATCAGCCATCGATGGATACTTGGGTTGCTTTCACATGTTAGCTGTTACGAATAATGCTCCCATGAACATTGGTGTACAGATATCTCCTCAAGTTCCTACTTTCCATTTTTTTCAATATACACTCAGAAATGGAATTATTAGATCATATAGTAATTCTATTTTTAAGTTTTGGAAGAACTGTTATGCTGTTTTCCATAGTAGCTATACCATTTTACATTCCCTCCAATTGTGCACAAGGGTTCCAATTTTCCACATTAGTATTTTCTTGTGTTTTTTTTTTCTTGTTTTTTTTTTTTTTTTTTTTTTTTTGAGACAGAGTCTTACTCTGTCACCCAAGCTGGAGTGCAGTGGTGCGATCTCGGCTCACCGCAACCTCTGCCTCCCAGGTTCAAGCGATTCTCGTGCCTCAGTCTCCCGAGTAGCTGAGATTACAGGTGCCCGCCACCACGCCCTGCTAATTTTTGTATTTTTAGAAGAGATGGGGTTTCACCGTGTTGCCCAGGCTAGTCTCGAACTCCTGACTTCAAGTGATCCACTGCCTTGGATTCCCAAAATGCTGGGATTACAGGCGGGAGCCGCCACACTTAGCCCACATTACCATTTTCTGTTTTTTTTTTTTTCTTCAATAGTACCCATTCTAATGGGTGTGAGGTGGTACCTCATTCTCATGGTGGCTTTGTCCTTAGGGTGAATTTTAATTATACATGTACTGGCTGTCAATATCAAGCCAGAGAGAAGGAATTCCCAAAGAGATCAACCTTTCTGTTATAAATCATTAGAATTTTATCATATTTTGCTTTGAGACAAAGCAAGTCCATCTGTAAACTTCAGCAAAGAGGTTAATTAATTTGGGTATTAGGGTGATGTGTTTTAATTTCTTTTTAGTTTAGAAATTTTAAAATTATCATTAATTTTTTTTTAGATTTAGAGATCCCCTTATTAACCTCAAACATTTGTATAGTGCAATGTTTCTTTTCTCTTTTCAAAATTTTTTTGATACAGGGTCTTGCTCTATCTCCAGGCTGGAGTGCAGTGGTGCGATCATGGCTCACTGCAGCCTCAACTTCCTGGGCTGAAGTAATCCTCCCACCTCAGCCTCTAGAGTAGCTCTAGAGTAGCCACAGCACATGCCACTATACCCAGCTAAGTTTTTTTGTGTGTATATATATATATGTTTTTGTTTTTTTTTTTTGAGACGGACTTTCGCTCTTGTTGCCCAGGCTGGAATGCAATAGCACTATAGCACTATCTCGGCTCACCGCAACCTCTGCCTCCCAGGTTCAAGTGATTCTCCTACCTCAGCCTCCCGAGTAGCTGGGATTACAGGCATGCACCACCATACCCAGCTAATTTTGTGTTTTTAGTAGAGACGGGGTTTCTCCATGTTGGTTAGGCTGGTCTCAAACTCCTGACCTCAGGTGATCACCTGCCTCCGCCTCCCAAAGTTCTGGGATTATAGGCGTGAGCCACCATGCCCAGCCTTTGTATTTTTTAGTAGAGATAGGGTTTCACCATGTTGCCCAGGCTGATCTCTAACTCCTAGGCTCAAGTGATCCACCTGCCTTGGCCTCTCAAAGTGTTGGGATCACAGGTGTGAGCAACCATTACCAGCCTAGTGCAATGTTTCCATATGGCTCAATAGTGTGCGTGTGCATATTGTGGGTTTTACAGTGTAGTATCAATGTGCCCAAATTCTGGCTCCCATGATATGACCTCAGCCACCCTTTCAGAGTCTTCCCTGGTATTTACAAGGGAATCTTCAGGGGTGGTGCTTGTTCTTTAAGCTCCAAAATCAGTTATGCTTTTTTCTCACTGCTCCAGACACAGGCCTTCAGAGCCCTTTCCTACCACTCTGCCAATCACCATCAGCAGTTTTTCTTTTTAGGCCTCAGCACCTACTCTTCCTTCTAACTGCGTGACCCTCACCAGTACTGCACTAGGGGTGGAGAATGGGAGGTGAGAATCTCTGCTTGTTCTCTTTTCATGTGTGGTTTTTTTTTTTTTTTTTTTTTTTGTATTTTTAGTAGAGACGGGGTTTCACTGTATTTGCCAGGATGGTCTCCATCTCCTGACCTCGTGATCCGCCCACCTCGGCCTCCCAAAGTGCTGGGATTACAGTCGTGAGCCACCGCGCCTGGCTTTTATGTTTCTAAATTTTTTTTTTTTTTTTTTGAGACAGAGTCTTGCTCTGTTGCCCACGCTGGAGTGCAGTGGTGTGTGATCTCAGCTCACTGCAACCTCTGCTTCCCGGGTTCAAGCAATTCTCCTGCCTCAACCTCCTGAGTAGCTGGGATTACAGGCATGTGCCACCATGTCCAGCTAATTTTTGTATTTTTAGGAGAGACAGGGTTTCACCATGTTGGCCAGGCTGGTCTGGAACTCCTGACCTCGTGATCCGCCTACCTGGGCCTCCCAAAGTGCTGAGATTACAGGCGTGAGCAACTGTGCCCGACTGCCCTCCCTCCCACCCTCCCCCCCTTCCTTCCTTTCTTTTTTTCTTTCTTTTCTTTTTTTTTTTTTTGAGACGGAGTCTCGCTCTGTCACCCATGCTGGAGTGCAGTGGTGCAATCTCGGCTCACTGCAAACTCCGCCTCCCAGGATCACGCCATTCTCCTGCCTCAGCCTCCCGAGTAGCTGGGACTACAGGTGCCTGCCACCACGCCTGGCTAATTTTTTATATTTTTAGTAGAGACGGGGTTTCACTGTGTTAGCCAGGATGGTCTCGATCTCCTGACCTTGTGATCTGCCCACCTCAGCTTCCCAGAGTGCTGGGATTACAGGCGTGAGCCACTGTGCCTGGCCATCTTTCTTTTCTTTTCTTTTTCCTTTTTTTTTTTTTTTTTTTTTTTGAGACGGCGTCTTGCTCTCTCGCCCAGGCTGGAGAAATGAGTGTTGGATTTTTTTTTTTTCAAACGCTTTTCTGCTTCAATCAGACCTGCTTTCTGAGTCCATGTTTCTGATTTCAGCAAATTCCTCTTTGCGGAATGAGTGTCAATATGAAGGAATTTCTACTTCCCTTAAGGTGCTCACCACCTCTGCCCAAAATGGTTTGGCTGTGGTCCCTTAAAAGGCCATCACTTCAAAATAGACTAGTCATGAAAATCAGTACATTTCTCAATGTTGAGGGTATTTGCTGTCAAAACCACGTGCAACAAGATATCAACAACACAGCTGATGGTGAATTTCACCCAGTCTTCCCCAATTCTATGTTTACAATCATTTATTTTTTATTTTTTTGAGGCAGGGTCTCACTCTGCCACCAGGCTGAAGTGCAGTAGCATGACCACATTTCCCTGAAGCCTCAACCTCCCAGGCTCAAACGATCCTCCCACCTCAGCCTCCTGAGTAGCTGGGACTACAGGCACGCACCACCATGTCCAAATAATTTTTTATTGTAGAGACAGGGTCTCGCTATGTTGCCCAAGCTGGTCTTAAACTCCTGACCTCAAGTGATCCTCCTGCCTTGGCCTCCCAAAGTGCTGGGGTTACAGGTGTGAGTCACCACGCCTGGCCTTTACAAACACTCTATTTTTTTAATTTTTTAAAATTTTATTTATCTATTTATATTTGAGACAGAGTCTGGCTCTATCACCCAGGCTGGAGTGCAGTGGCATGATCTCTGCTCACTGCAAGCTCCGCCTTCTGGGTTCATGCCATTCTCCTGCCTCAGCCTCCTGAGTAGCTGGGAGTATAGGTGCCCGCCACCACGCCTGGCTAATTTTTTGTATTTTTTAGTAGAGACGGGGTTTCACCGTGTTAGCCAGGATGGTCTCCATCTCCTGACCTCGTGATCCGCCCACCCTGGCCTCCCAAAGTGCTGGGATTACAGGCGTGAGCCACCACGCCCGGCCACGAATATGTATTTCTGTTTGAAAACTTGCTGAGACCTTAAAGACTACAGTTAAGAGATTCAGGACCCAGGCTCAGATTCCTTGAATTAAAGTGTTTGTAGGCCCAGGCTGGTCTCAAACTCCTGAGTTCAGGTGATCCACCCGCCTTGGCTTCCCAAAGTGCTGGGATTACAGGTGTGAGCCACAGCACCTGGCTAAGACCCTGTTTCAAAAAATAAAAATAAAAATAGGCTGGGTGCGGTGGCTTACGCCTGTAATCACAGCACTATGGGAGGCCGAGGCGGGTGGATCACCTGAGGTCTGGAGTTCGAGACCAGCCTGGCCAATGTGGTGAAACCCCGTCTCTACTAAAATTACAAAAATCAGGCCAGGCATGGTGGCTCACGCCTATAATCCCAGCACTTTGGGAGGCTGAGGCAGGCGGATCATGAGGTCAAGAGATGGAGACCATCCTGGCCAACATGGTGAAACTCCGTCTCTACTAAAAAAAAATACAAAACTTAGCTGGGTGTGGTGGTGCGCCTGTAGTCCCAGCTACTAGGGAGGCTGAGGCAGGAGAATCGCTTGAACCTGGACGGTGGAGGTTGCAGTGAGCTGAGATCGTGCCGCTGCACTCCAGCCTGGCAACAGAGCGAGACTCCGTCTCGAAACAAAACAAAACAAAACGAAACAAAACAAAACAAAACAATCAGCAGGCATGGTGGCACGAGCTTATAATCCCTGCTACTCTGGAGGCTGAGGCAGGAGAATCACCTGAACCCAGAAGGGGAGCTGAGATTATGCCAGTGCACTCCAGCCTGGGCAACAAAGTGACACTCCATCTCAAAATAAATAAATAAATAAATAAATAAATAAATAAATAAATAAATAAATAGAAAAATTAATTTAAAAAATAGAAACAAATTAAAATGAGGGGCTTGAATTGCATTGGAGACTTATTCAGGGGAATCTTTTTTTTTTTTTTGATGGAGTCTCACTCTATTGCCCAGGCTGGAGTGCAATGGCACTGTCTTGGTTCACTGCAGCATTCGCCTCCCAGGTTCAAGTGATTCTCCTGCCTCAGCCTCCTGAGTAGCTGGGATTACAGGCATGCACCACCATGCCTGGCTAATTTTTGTATTTTAATAGAGACAGGTTTTCACGATGGTCAGGATGGTCTGGAACTCCTCACCTCCACTCGCTTTGGCCTCTTAAAGTGCTGGGATTACAGGCGTGAGCCACCGAGCCCGGCTATTCGGGGGAATCTTTCAGATTAAAGAAAAAGATTGGCTAGATGAGATACTGAGAGATTAAAACTTTGAAATGGCAGTTTTTATGGTTTCTACTTATATCCTATTATTATTATTATTATTATTATTATTATTATTTTATATCTATTTTTTGAGACAGAGTCTTGCTCTGTTTCCCAGGCTGAAGTGCAGTGGGGCGATCTCGGCTCATTGCAACCTCTGCCTCCTGGGTTCAAACGATTCTCATGCCTTACTCTCCCAAGTAGCTGGGATTACAGGTGCCCAGCTAATTTTTGTGTTTTTAGTAGAGACGGGGTGTCTACTAAAAATACAAACCACTGAACCCAGCTAAGTTTTGTATTTTTAGTAGAGACGGGGTTTTGCCGTGTTGGCCAGGCTGGTCTTGAACTCCTGACCTCAGGTGATTCACCTGCCTCAGCCTCCCAGAGTGCTTGAATTATGGGTGTGAGCCACCGTGTCTGGCCTCTACTTATATCCTAAAGATTTTTTTTTTTTTTTTGAGACATAGTTTTGCTCTGTCGCCCAGGCTGGAGTGCAGTGGCGCAATCTCGGGTCACTGCAAGCTCCACCTCCCAGGTTCACACCATTCTCCTGCCTCAGCCTCCTGAGTAGCTGGGACTACAGGCACCTGCCACCACGCCCGGCTAATTTTTTTGTATTTTTAGTAGAGATGGGGTTTCACCGTGTTAGCCAGGATGGTCTCAAGCTGCTGACCTCGTGATCTGCCTGTCTCGGCCTCCCAAAGTGCTGGGATTACAGGCATGAGCCTCCGTGCCCGACTATATCCTAAAGATTTTATTTATTTTTATTTTGGAGACAGAGTCTCCTCTGTCACCCAGGCTTGCGTGCAGTGGGGCGATCATGGCTCACTGCAACCTCTGCCTCCTGGGTTCAAGCGATTCTCCCGCCTCAGCCTCCCGAGGAGCTGGGATTACAGGCATGTGCCACCACACCCAGCTAATTTTTGTATTTTTAGTAGAGATGGGATTTCACCATATTGGTCAGGCTGGTCTTGAACTCCTGACCTCAGGTGATCCGCCTGCCTTAGTCTCCCAAAGTTCTGGGATTACAGACGTGAGCCACCACGCCCGGCCTATCCTAAAGATTTTAAAAACTGTTTTAAAACGACACCCCACTTATATTTAGATTTGATTATTTACAGTCTTTCACCTCAAGGCCCTGAAGTTTTGAACAAGAGGGTTAAGTTGGAAGTACAAGTTCTCGAATCAAACTGCTGGAGCTCAAAATCCAGGTTATTTCTACCCCAGCCCCAGAAACCGTGAGACGATGGAGAAGCCATTTCACCTCTCTGTGTTTCAATATTTATTTATTTATTTGAGCTGGAGTCCTGCTCTGTCCCCCAGGCTGGAGTGCAGTGGCGCGATCTTGGCTCCTTGCAACCTCCACCTCCCGGGTTCAAGCGTTTCTTCTGCCTCAGTCTCCCCAGTAGCTGGGATTACAGGTGCCTGCCACCATTTCTGGCTAATTATTTTGTATTTTCTTCTTTTTTTTTTCAGACAGAGTCTTGCTCTGTGGCCAGGCTGGAGTGCAGTGGTACAATGTCGGCTCACTGCAACCTCTGCCTCAAGTTCAAGCTATTCTCCTGCCTCAGCCTCCAGAGTAGCTGGGACTACAGGCACGTGCCACCATGCCCAGCTAATTTTTTGTAGTTTTGGTAGAGACAGGGTTTCACCATGTTGGCCAGGATAGTCTTGATCTCTTGACCTCGTGATCCGCCTGCCTTGGCCTCCCAAAGTGCTGAGATTACAGGCGTGAGCCACCGTGCCCGGCCTATTTTGTATTTTCAGTAGAGACAGAGTTTCACCATTTTGACCAGGCTGGTCTCAAACATCTGACCTTAAGTAATCCGCCCGCCTCAACCTCCCAAAGTGCTGTGATTACAGGCGTGAGCCACCGTGTCTGGCCCTGTTTTTCAATTTTTACCATTTACAAGTACTTTCAGAAGTACTTAGAACAAACCTAAATGACTAGGGCAAGAAATTTTATCATCTCCGTTTGACACTTGGTGAAACAGTCTCAAAATGTATGACTAGCCCAAGTTCATAGAGGTGATCAATGATGCTACAGTTATGAAAATCAGATATTCATCCAGACTTTACTATGACAAAGATTCTTTGGCCAAACTTTAGTCAGACTTCTGAATCTTCTGCTAGGTCCATCCGTGCACTTCCTTGTAAAGTCTAGTTTTAGCAGAAAACTGAGCTAAGTCAGTTTAGCAAGAACCCCTCTTCCTCCATATCTGATCAGGCTCCTCATCCTCCACCATCTCCCAGGTGATGTCTGATCACTGTGGCCTGTCTTCAGCAAGAATCCTGTTAGATTGATTTGGCCAGAGTTTCACTTACCCCTGAGGTTTCCTCTTAGTAATTTTCTATCTACTGACCCCCTACATTGTTCCTTGGTGAATCAGATTCCTGAACCATTGCTCAAGACAAATGTCTGCCAAAGCTGGTAAGAACAGATGTGGATTCTTAAGGTATCAGTATACTCTGGCTGGGTTTGGTGGCTTGCACCTGTAATTCCAGCTACTTAGGAGGCTGAGGCAGGAGGATCGCTTGAGCCCAGGAGTTTGAGGCTGCAGTGAGCTATGATCATGCCACTGACTCTGGCCTAGGTGACACGGTAAGACGCTGTCTCTTAAAATAAGGAAAAAAAACGCCGGGCGCGGTGGCTCACGCCTGTAATCCCAGCACTTTGGGAGGCCGAGGCGGGTGGATCACGAGATCAGGAGATCGAGACCATCCTGGCTAACACAGTGAAACCCCATTTCTACTAAAAATACAAAAAATTAGCCGGGCGTAGTGGCTGGTGCCTATAATCCCAGCTACTCGGGAGGCTGAGGCAGGAGAATAGCGTGAACCCGGGAGGCGGAGCCTGCAGTGATCCGCGATCGCGCCACTGCACTCCAGCCTGGGCGACTGAGCGGGACTTCGTCTCAAAAAAAAAAGGAAAGAAAAGTATATTCTCTGAAACTGTGTTACAGTCCCAGGCTTCTTTTGAAAGGTACCTTCTGGGCTGGATGTTCTTTCTGGCTCTCTGTGAAGCCTCTGTATTCTCTCTATTGGATCTTGCTTCTCCCATGGGAAATTCTGTCACCTGAAACCCTTCTTCTCTGAAACCAGAAATCCCTACTGATTATAACCTTTGCCAACTTTGTCCACCACTGCCAGATCCTTTCCCTTCTCACTCCAGCCCCACAGTCACTTGCACTTTAGGCTCCCTACCCTCCACTGGGGGCTCTGAAGGGACTGAGAGGACCCTCCAAATCAATCACTTGAGGCTGAAAAGAGAGAAAAAAATGAGACTGTTTTGAAACAGGGCAAATAAAAAAAAAAGTAAAAAGAATTTTCCACAAATATTGGTAAAAAGCTTTAGCCCTTACTAAGTAGGTAAACTCAACTTGTCCCATTTTCTTTTTTTTTTTTTTTTCTGAGGCAGATTGTCGCTCTGTCGCCCAGGCTGGAGTGCAGTGGCACGATCTCTGCTCACTGCAACCTCCGCCTTCAGGGTTCAAGTGATTCTCCTGCCTCTGCCTCCCTAGTAGCTGGGACTACAGGTGCCCGCCACCAGGCCCGGCTCATTTTTTTCTATTTTTAGTAGAGATGGGCTTTCACTATGTTGGCCAGGCTAGTCAAAGTGCTAGGATTACAGGTATGAGTCACCGCACCCGGCCAAGTATTCCTATTTTTATGGCAATATAGTTATTTGCATAATTTCTATAAAAATGTGTTCTCCTGTAACAAGACATAATTGGAGGCACTGGTTGTATTAACCAGGTTTTGACTGGAATGTCATATTTTCAAACATGACCAGATGGCATTAAGGAGCTATGGTTGACTTTATGGAGCCAATAAAGTCTTCGTTTGAAAAACTGGCCTGATTGTTCCCAGACTTACAGGTGAGTGGCCTGAGTGGCCGGGCGCGGGGGCTCACACCTGTAATCCCAGCACTTTGGGAGGCCGAGGCAGGTGGATCACGAGATCAGGAGTTCAATACCAACCTGGCCAAGATGGTGAAACCCCATCTCTACTAAAAATACAAAAAAAAAAAAAAAAAAAAATTAGCCAGGCGTGGTGGCAGGTGCCTGTAATCCCAGCTATTCAGGAGGCTGAGGCCGAGAATTGCTTGAATCCAAGAGGCAGAAGTTGTAGTGAGCTGAGATCACGCCACTGCACTCCAGCCTGGGCGACGGAGTGAGACTCCGTCTCAATAAACAAACAAAAACAAACAAAAAAGCCAAAAAAAAAAAAAAAAAAGAACCACAGATGAGTAAGGAATGTCACTCTCTGGCAGGCCCAGGAACTTCAGTGTATTTTAGGGACCCCCAAGAAGAGAGGAATACAGTCAAATCTCTAAGTGTTTCAGATGTAGCCTGATGGCTAATAGTTTAAGATGTAGTTCAGGTAATCCATGAAGATTTCCTGAAGGAAGTTCGCATGAATGTGAGAGGGCAATTAACTTTTATAATTTTTATTGAGCACGTAGTATATACTTGTCAGATGCTCTTCTACACATTTTACAAATGATTCTTAATCCTCACAACAGATCTTTGATTAGGTTTTTAAGGAAAACTAGTTCTTTCCAAAATAACCTAATGATCACAAAACATATAGAACATACAACTCTGCATCTTGACTATGGTGCGTAGGTCTACATGTGATAAAATGACATTGAACTATACACACATCATACAACTATCAAATCCCTCCTTTTGAGATTGTACTAGAATTATGTAATATGCAACCATTGGGGGAAACTGGGTAAAGAGTAAATTGGATCTCTCTGTACTATCTTTGAGTAGTGTTTAGGTATTTTATAAAAATAATGTCCTACAGTTTGGGTTTGTCAAATGGTTTTCTCATAGTTAGATAGGGGTTATGGCTTTTGGAGAGAAAGACCACAGAGGTCTGTAGTATATTTTCAACTGTAATCTATTTCAAAATAAAAAGTTTTAAAAAAATTCTCCAAGGGGGGATGATTAGTAAATTGATTAGTCCTTTCTAGACCTCCAACACACCCCACCACACACTCACACAGACCCACACTCCTATTAATTCCGGTAACTCGGGTTGTTTGGAATGTGGATAGAGAAACTAAGCTTAACTATGCGCTTCCAGCACCTCGTATCTGGTACTTCTGTTCAACAGAAAGCCTTGGGAATGGGGAGGGCAGGCGTGGTAAAAGGTACAGGTTTGGGAAGGTCGCTCGGTTCCTTCCAATCCAAACGAGAGGCTTCTGATTGTTTATTCTCACACCAGAGCCGTGACCGAGACCCAGAGGTCCGCTTCCGGCCACGGCCGAACAGCTGCACCGTGCGTACCGGGAACGGTCAAGGCGCAGCTGGAACCGCTGCAAAAGGCCTCCGGGCGTACCGGACAGGTCGCAAGGGCGGGGGTCCCCACCTAGCGGAAATGCACGGAGGCCAACCCCTCCCCCTGCCCCCGCGAGGAGCGGGGCGGACTCGGCAGCCGCCACTCCCCAGGCTCACAGGAAGAAACTGGGACGCTGCGGACGCGGAACTGGCCAGACCCGCGGCGCGTGGCACGCGCGAGCCCTCCCGCGCATGCTCCACCCGCCGGCCTCCAGCCCGCGCCCCGGGCCCCGCCTCCCTCCCTGCTTCTCCCCCTCTCCCGTCAGCCTCCCTCCGAGTTTGGCCCCTCCGGCCGGGCGATCGACGTTCCGCGTGCGTGCGGGCGCCTGACTTCACTTCCGGCTAACGCGCTCGGCTTGCCCCCTGGCCCCGGATGGTGACTGGTGGTGGTGCTGCACCTCCCGGGACTGTCACTGAGCCGCTTCCCAGTGTGATTGTGCTGAGCGCAGGCCGGAAGATGGCGGCTGCGGCTGCGGCGGCCTCGGGCCCCGGCTGCTCCTCGGCGGCGGGGGCGGGGGCGGCCGGGGTCTCAGAGTGGCTGGTGCTGCGGGACGGCTGCATGCACTGCGACGCCGACGGGCTGCACAGCCTGTCCTACCACCCTGCGCTCAACGCCATCCTGGCCG
This sequence comes from Homo sapiens, assembly GCF_000001405.40. Lineage (NCBI taxonomy): Eukaryota > Metazoa > Chordata > Mammalia > Primates > Hominidae > Homo > Homo sapiens. The sequence goes on from NC_000002.12 coordinate 32,357,415, forward strand.
TCACTAGCCGCGGGACCATCAAAGTCATCGACGGCACCTCGGGGGCCACACTGCAGGCCTCCGCGCTCAGTGGTGAGTCTTCCGCACGCCGGGCGGGCGCGAAGCCGGGGAAAGAAGCCGTCCAGCCCCGGGGCTCGGCCTCGCGACTCGGGGAAGCGAGATGGCGAGAGGGCAGGGCTGGGGGTTCGGGCCCAGCCGTGAAGGGAGGCCCGGAAGCTGATGGAGGGGGACCTTAGGACTTGGCTTTTTCAGCGGCTGCAGTTGGGAGGAAAGACCGGCGAGTCAGGGAGTGGTGGGAGGGGAGTTGCCTTTCGGGCCTGGAGCGTCCGGTCTGGCTTGGTCCTCCGCGAGAGGTGAGGAGACCTTGGAGCTTGGCACCGGAGGAAGCGAGGCCCGGGTAGGCCCTGGAGAGGCTGTCGGTCCTGCGTCCGGTTAGATGAGAGCGAAAGGCTGGAAGGGTTGACCCCGGGCGGAGAGGCTGGTGGCCGGAGGCGAGGGGCGGGGAGCGTCTGAGCCGGCAACCAAGCCCTCCCTTGTGGGAGAGGAGCCGGCAGTCTGCTGTTCTCAGGTCCCGCAGTGCGGGGGACAGACCGCGGGCTGTGCGCCCAGCGTGGGGGTGGGGGTGGGGTGGGGGTGGGGTGGGTCGTGGTGGGGGTGGGGAGGGAAGTAGGCGGGCCAGCTGCCTGAACTGCTTGGTCGACGACTGTAGGACTCTGCGGACGCCGAAGACGACTAGACCTGGTCCCCTTGCTCGGGGCTTCCAACTTCTACGCCCCAGTGACGAGAAAGTCAGGACCTGTGGTGTATGAAATAGATTCCTTTGGGTTTGTAACTTCAGGCTGTCTCTACTTGTTTTCCCACAGCGAGCCGAAAATTAGGATTTGAAGGTGTGTCTGAGTCTCACCATTGGAGGAGAGCACTTCTGGGTGGCGTAAACCTTGGTCCAGGGACGGGACTTTCAGATGCGTGAGGTGTATGCTCAGTGGACGGACTGGAGTGGTTTTGGAATGGCCCTGGCTGAGTTAGATTTGGCGGAGATGACATTTCATTTGTGGTTAAATGATGGGTGGCTTAATTTGGATGTTGTAGGTTTAGATTGAAAAGTTAGTGTATGAGTGAATCGGACTCCTGCATAGAGATGTAATGTATACAACTGTCTGCGTTTAGCCAAGTGGAAGTAGTTATGTGGTCAACCAATTCACTTGTATTTTAACGTAGACGAACAAGGAAAAGTTTACTATGTGAGTAATAAGGCATTTGTAAGAGTAAATGGCAATTTAGGGATGCAAACGTGAAATTAGACATGTTAATTATTGTTGATGTGAGAGTTGTGAAAGAATTGGATTATGTATAGTTTCAGGATATAAACTTGGAACATATCTAAGAGAAAGTTTTGGGAGGTAGGTTTGTAATTTTTTCTTTTCTTGGCTTAGGTAAATGATGGGGTGGCCCAGATGTAGCAGTGAACAGTTACTGCAACTTGGACATAATGGCTTCTCACTGTGTGTAAGAGGGAGATGCTCATTGGTAATTGGATGTCTTTCTTTTTAAAAGTCATTTAAAAGTATTTCAAGTATGAAAAGGTATGAAGAGTAATTACAGTGAACACCATGCATCCCCAACTCAGGTTAAGAAATAAAACTTTACAAATAGGATTAAAATCTCAGCTGAATCTCTCCTGGACTGCATTTCTCCAATCCTCCCTCTTCATAAACGTTATCTTTAATTTGATTTTATCCTTTTCATATATGTCTACACTTTCTAGTATATGTTTCTATCTTGAGGATGTAGTATTTTTGTGATTTTTAACTTGGAATAAGTGGTATATGTACTAGGATTTCTAAAGAAAGTCATTAACAAAAGTATTCAAGTGTTTTGGATAGAAAGAGGAATTTTATGGTGTGCTTTTTATGTCTGGAGGCCATGTTTGAGAATAATAATGTGTGTCAGGATTTGTTGGTTGGGGAAATTGGACATATATTTATGTGCCTGTACATGGAAGGAAAGACAATATTCACTTTAGTGGTAGATTACTAAAGAGGAGGGTTTTAGATGTATAACATGAAGGTGTAGGTAGATAAGTAAAATGTAGCATTGATTTGGGATAACAGGTTTTGTTGGGGCATCTGTTGATTAGAAGAGTTCGGGATTGGATACAATTGCAGGTCCCCATGCATGAAGATTGAGTATGTGAATTAAAATATGTAGAAGGGTTTATAGTGAACGGAATGAAGGATTACAGAAAAAATTTGGAAGTTAACAATGGATGCATTCTGAAACATTTTCATATATGAGAAGTGAAATTTATTATTATTTGTAAAATTTATTCGTATTTGTAGAGATGGGGTTTTGCTGTGTTGCCCAGGCTGGTCTTGAACTTCCGGCCTCAAATGATCCTCCCACCTCAGCCTCCCAAAGTGCTGGTATTACAGGCATGAGCTGTCCCACCTGGCCAGAAGTTTGTTATTAATAATAATTATCAGAGGTTGTATAGGGTCCTATTTGCCCCAGTTCAGATGATTGAGGAGGGAATGCTGCATTTTATGTTTTACTTAGAATCTGCAGGTATTTAGTAAGTTTGCTTTTAATGATTAATAGAGGGTGACAGCCCTATAAATAGAGTAGAGAGAAGATGCCAGTAGCGATCATGGTCCTAACATAATCCCTCTTTCCCGTTTATGGGCAATGGGCCACTTTCTTTTCTACCACAGAGGAAAGACATCTGTGTCTGAGGGGATAAAGACTAGGTGATACAGTAATAGGTCTTATGGACGCCTGGGGTTCAGTTTATAGGGTTATGGGTTGCCTGTAGATTTGCAGTTGAAGGATGGGAACAGGACTTGTATGTATATGTATTGAGTGGCAAAGACAGTGAATTTTTAACTATGACTACTAGTATATGTCTTTATATTATCTGTATCTGATATAAAATGTTTATAAATACAGTTTAACTGGATTAAGAGCTATCAGTATATACACAGGCTGGGTAAGTATTTGCTCCCTGTCAGTATTTAAGAGTGAAGATTTTTGAAGCTCTGAGCTGCGTGATCTGGCTTTTACTAGTCTCTCTAGTCTTGTCTCCTTATTTATAAGTTTTGTGAAATGGTCCATTTAATTCTTTTTCCTAACTACAGTAGTTTTGTTCTTTCTTGGAATGCACCAATTCGCTCCAGTCATTTAGCTAAGTCTTAGTCATTTTCAAGACCTAGAGCGTATCTTAACTTCCTGATCCCTTTAGCCAGAAATGACTGAAGCCCTAAGCACATATGGTCCTATTAGTGTCCATTTTAGTAATCTGGCAGGTTAGTATTTTGTGGTATTTTTTCAACCGTCTTGAACTATTTAAGTTTAAATTCCATTTTATTTAGCTTTTTGTAAATATATGAGGTCTGTCTCATATTTCAAGCTCCTTGTGGGGAGGTACTTTGTTTATTTGTTTATATATCCCTTCCCCAGGATGCCTAATATACAGTGTGTGTGTATGTGTGTGTGTATGTATATATTTATTTATTATTATTGTTTCTTTGACAGAGTGTCACTCTGTGGCCCAGGCTGGAGTGCAGTGATGCGATCTCGGCTCACTGTAGCCTCTGCCTCCTTGGCTCAGGCAGTCCTCCTGCCTCACCTTCCTGAATAGCTGGGATTACAGGTACACACCACCAGACCTGGCTAATTTTTTTTATTTTTATTTTTTATTTTTAGTAGAGACAGGGTTTCACCATGTTGGCCAGGCTGGTCTCGAACTCCTGACCTCAAGTGATCTGCCCACCTTGGCCTCCCAAAGTGTTGGGATTACAGGTTTGGGCCACCGCGCCCAGCCCTAATATATACAGTATAAACTCGAGTATTTTTGATTGGATGCATATATAACAATGAGTATATTAGTACTTCCTTATATACTAATTGCTAAGTAAACACATTCCTTGACTTTTTTTTTGTTTAAATATGTGTTTCTTTTTTAGAGCAGTTTTAGGTTAACAACAAAATTGAGCAGAAAGTACAGACAGTTCCCATATGCCCTCTATCTCTGTGCTCACACAGCCTCCCACCCATCAGTATTCTGCACCAGAGTGGTATGTTACCATCCGTGATCTTAGCACTAACAATCATCATCTCCCAAAGTGCATAGTTTACATTAGGATTTACTCTTGGTGTTGTACAGGCTGTGGGTTTGGACAATGTATAGTGACATGTATCCACCATTGTACTATCATAAAGAATAGTTTCACTACCCTAAAGATCCCCTGCTCTGCCTATTCATCCTTCCCTTCCTTTTCCCCCCAACTGTTCCCTCCCCTCTCCCTGCTGGCAACCACTGATCTTTTTACTGTCTTCATAGTTTTGCCTTATTCAGAATGTCATAGTTGTATTTATACCGTTTGTAGACTTTTCAGGTTGCCTTCTTTATCTATATGCATTTACAGTTCTTCCTTGTCTTTTCATGGCTTGATAGCTCATTCCTTTTTAGCGCTAAATAATATTCCATTGTCTGGATGTAGCACAGTTTATCCATTCACATACCGGAGGACATCTTGCTGGCTTCCATGTTTTGGCAATTATGAATAAACCTGCTGTAAACATTTGTGTGCAGGTTTTTGTGTAGACATAAGTTTTCAAATCATTTGGGTAAATACTAAGGAGCTCAATTGCTGGGTTGCATGTGAGAGTATGTTTACTTTTGTAAGAAACTGACAGACTCTTAGTGGCTGTGTACCATTTTGTATTCTCATCAGCAATGAATGTTCTACTTCCTCACCAGCATTTGGGGGTTTTATATTTTGGCCGTTTTAGTAGTTGTGTAGTGGTATCTCCTTTTTTAAAATTGTAATTTCCTAATGACATGATGTTGAGCATCTTTTCATATGCTTATTTGTCTCTTTTTATATGTTTATTTGCTGACTTTGTTTTTTTTTTTTTTTGAGACAGAGTCTCGCTCTGTCGCCCAGGCTGGAGTGCAGTGGTGTGATCTCGGCTCACTGCAAGCTCCGCCTACCAGGTTCACACCATTTTCCTCCCTCAGCCTCCCAACTAGCTGGGACTACAGGTGCCCCCCACCAGACCCGGCTAATTTTTTTTTGTATTTTTAGTAGAGATGGGGTTTTACCATGTTAGCCAGGATGGTCTCGATCTCTTGACCTCATGATCTGCCTGCCTCGGCCTCCCAAAGTGCTGGGATTGCAGGCATGAGCCACCTCACCCAGCCTGACTTTGGGTTTTAAAAATAAAAAAGCTACACACCACTTGACCATACTGTTCATATTACTAGATATGTCCTTCACCCTAGCTATTGTTTGTTCATGAAATTTAGCATAATAGTTAGAAAGGAGCTTGGTTCTGGACACAGATAGCTTGGGTTAAGATCCCAGTGTCTTAAAAATTTTTTTTTTTTTAAATTCATCCCATTACACAGAATTATTTTAATTTTTAAACACCTGTCTAAATTTTTAAACACCTTGACTAAATTATTTAATATTTCTGTTCCAGTTTCCTTATTTGCAAAATGAGGATAATTGTACTAATTGTGAGAATTAAGTGATTATGCATGTAAAGTGTTTGCAGCAGTGTACTTACCAGACAAGTGCCCCAAAAATGTTTGTCTTATCTACTTTAATTCCCTGTAAATACCTTGCTTTTGGCCTGGTGCTGTGGCTCATGCCTGGGGTCCCAGCACCTTGGGAGGCTGAGGCAGGAGGATCGCTTGAGCCCAGTAGTTGGAGACCAGCCTAGGCAACATAGTGAGACCTTGTCTCTAGAAAAAAATAAAAAAATTTGCTGGGCATGGTGGTGCACACCTGTAGTCCCAGATACTCGGGAGGCTGAGGTGGGAGGATTGCTTGAACCTGGGAGGTTGAGGCTTCAGTGAGTTGTGATTGTGCCAGCCTGGGCAACAGAGCAAGACTCTGTCTCAAACAAACAAACAAAAACAAGAAAACCTTGCTTTTTTTTTCTTTTTTACTTAAAGCTTTTTTTATATTCAGTTTTTGGACTTAAACTGAACTTTGAACTTCCTAAGGTTTTTTTGTGATTTACCACTTTCCACCATCCTACAGAACCCATCTAGATTTTGCTTTTTTGTGAGAGTAAGATATTGTTAAGGTGTTCTCTTACTTAATTACTGGGGGTGATGATTTCTCTTACTTCCTGAAATAATGCCCCTCCCCAGTGTAGTACATTTTATACCGTTTGTCTTTTTTATAAGCTTTTTTGAGATTATGTGGAGAGAGCATGCGCTTTATGTTAGGTAGTCCTGAATTTTGAATTTTAGTTCTTTTATGAACTCACTACTTAAACCTCCTGAACCTCAGCTTCCTCATCTGTAAATTAAGATTAATGTTTAATAGGATGGTGGGGAAGACTAAGTGGTCAAACATGTTAAAAGTGCCTAACAGTGCATGACAAATGTAAAATAGGGGATGCTCAGCAAATGCTAATTCCTTTGAGTCTCTTGGCTGCTTGGTCAATATTGCCACACTCCTCGTGATTACTTTAAAAAATGTTCACTAAATGTTTATACATAGAGGATAGGCAGATGTAGATGGAAATATAAATGTTTGTAACAAATATACAGTAATCTGTGTTTGGATAAATATCTTTTAGTGTATTGGTGTGGCTAAATGTCAGAATGAAGTTAAGATAGTTGTATTACTAGTTCTGTGTGTATACAGATTTGTTTATGTAGTATATATACATATGTAAGTGAAGGTATATGTGTGCAGGTATTAATCAATGGATATGGCAGTATATGGGTAGGAGACAGTCATGTCTCTTCAGTTTCCGAAGTGAATTCCAGATCTGTGTTGCAGTGAAGAAGAAAAAACCTGCTCAGTGTTTTTATTTTATTTTATTTTATTTACATATTGAGATGGAGTCTTGCTCTGTTGCCTAGGCTGGAGTGCAATGGCGCAGTCTCTGCCTCCCGGGTTCAAGCGATTCTCCTGCCTCAGCCTCCTGAGTAGCTGGGATTACAGGTGTGCGCCACCATGCCTGGCTAATTTTTTTTCTATTTTTAGTAGAGATGGAGTTTCACCATGTTGGTCAGGCTGGTCTGGAATTCCTGACCTCGTGATCCGCCCGCCCTGGCCTCCCAAAGTGCTGGGATTGCAGGCGTGAGCCACCGTGCCCAGCCCTGCTCAGTGTTCTTAGACAAACACTCCAGTTTTACATTTCTTTGTATCTTTTTTCTTTTCCTATATAGATAGTGACTTTTTTTTTTCCACTGGGTTTTTAGAGTCAGTCCCTCAGTAATACAGATAATGACTTTGATTTGAGAAATTTGTATGTGGTCATAAATAAGAGGAAGATCTTTGTACTTTACTGTAGCTTCAGTGAGGTTTAGATCGGGTGTTTTTTTTTTTTTTTTCTTTCCTGATGTAAGAGCTTCTTGATCAAACTTCAGGCCCAGAGCTGCCTGCTCTGAGAGGTCATGGTGCCTGCATAGTCCTCAAGAAATAATTTTTTTTGGCTAAAATGTGCAGTCTCCCAGTGATGGAAACTGTAAATGATTCAAAACAGTTCTAATTCCTGGCTAACTTCGGTACATGCGGCATTCCTACTCTCAACTATTCTTTGAGAGATAAACATGATATAGAATTCGGATCTCAATAGCCCTAGAAGATGTCTTATGAATGCATTTGAGTTTTTATAAAAACTTAATTTAGCAGAATCTCTTTTTGGGCTATGAATATGTACTTTGGCTCTGTTTCTGGTGACTGACTTTAGTGATATTAAGAAAGAATAGAATATTGGCTCTGGAGCCAGACAATTTAAGTTCCAGGTGTGACCTTATGCAAACTGCTTAACCTCTCTCTGTGCTTCATAATTAGTACTTAACTCACTGGGTTATTGTAAAGATTAAATAAACTGATACATACAGAATACTGCTTGACTCACCATAAACAGTCAATAAATGTTACTTTTTTTTTTTTTTTGAGAGGTCGCCCTGTCGCCCAGGCTGGAGTGCAATGGCGCGATCTCAGCTCACTGCAACCTCCGCCTCTCAGGTTCAAGCGATTCTCCTGCCTCAGCCTCCTGAATAGTTGGGATTACAGGCGTGCGCCTGCACGCCCAGCTAATTTTTTCTATTTTTAGTAGAGACAGGGTTTCACAATGTTGGCCAGGCTGGTCTCGAACTCCTGACCTTGTGATCCACTCGCCTCGGCCTCCCAAAGTGCTGGGATTACAAGTGTGAGCCACCGTGCCCGGTCCTACTTTTTGTTTTGTTGTCTTAAATTATATAGTTCAGTTCAACAAGTGTTTGTCTGCCTTATGTAGGTAACAAGGTTAATTTGAACTACCTTGGCCATGATTCCCATATTTTAAAGTACAAGAACTCCCAGTTTAAGGTAAAAAAATTAGGGCCCTATTATGATTGGAGCTTGGTTGCAGTATTAATTAATTGAGAAAATATTGTAAAAACAACTGCTTTTAAGCAGTTTTATTTATTTATTTTATTTTTTAATTTAATTTAATTTAATTTAATTTATTTTTTGAGATGAATTCTTGCTCTGTTGCCCAGGCTGGAGTGCAGTGATGTGGTCTTGGCTCACTGTAAACTCTGCCTCCTGGGTTCAAGCGATTCTCCTGTCTCAGCCTCCCAAGTAGCTGGGATTACAGGCACGTGCCACCATGCCCAGGTAATTTTCGTCTTTTTACTAGAGATGGGGTCAGGCTGGACTTGGACTCCTGACCACAGGTGATCCACCTGCTTCGGTCTCCCAAAGTGCTGGGATTACAGGCATGAGCCACCATGCCCAGCCAGCAATTTTAATTATTAGACCTCTTTTACCTATGTATGTGAGAAAGAATACAACGTGAATGTTTTGGGCTTTCTTTCCCTGCTGGCTTAGCTTTTAAGATTTTTGGGGAGGAGAGGAAACAGATTAGTTAATGCTTTTCCATTTGCCCTCCAACTTCAAAAATTTTGTTGCTATTTTCTCTTCACTTGTTCTTTTTGTCTTTTTGGATTTGTTCAATACCTTCTTTATTCCTTTACTGTCTTTTCAGTGGGATCTTGGGAGGGAGCAGAGGTAAATGTGGATGTATGATATTATTTTTAAACTGAAAATCTCTAGTTGTAACTATACTTACATTGTTAAACATTTAGTAGTCTGTCCTTAGGAATGTTGGCTATAAGTATATATAGAACTTAAAAAAATAATAGATTTCTGTAATATAGTATGTAAGAACAGTGGGGACGCAAGCAGGAGTGACCTCTCTGATATGTGTGTTGTATTGCTGATGGCTTCATGAAAAGGGTGCCTTTGGCAAGATACTTCTCTGAGATACCAACTTTAAAATGGGCTAATGGCCTGTAATCCCAGCACTTTGGGAGGCTTAGGTGGGAGGATTGTCTGAGGCCAGGAGTTTGAGACCAGCCTGGGCAACATAGTGAGACCCCGTCTCTACAAAAAAAAAAAAATTAGCTGGGTGTGGTGGTGCATGCCTGTAGGCCCAGCCACTTGGGAGGCTGAAGCAGGAGTATCACTTGAGTCCAGCACTTCAGGCAGCAGTGAGCTGTGATTGTGCCACTGCACTCCAGCCTAGGGGAGAAAGGGGCTTTTAATACCTTTCTAAACATAGAAATTTTTTGCATACTGTAGAACTGTAGCACTTCAAATGTAAGGGATACAAAAAAGTTAAGATAAACTTGGGTGTAGAAGAGAATATCATATAGAGATACAAACTGCAAAAAGAAGGAAATACAGACAGGAGATAATAGAGATACAAATAAAAAGAATACAGTAATTGCTTTATAAAACAGTCTGTGGCCTGGGCATGGTGGCTCATGCCTGTAATCCCAGCACTTTGGGAGACCAAGGTGGGTGGGTCACCTGAGGTACGGAGTTCGAGACCAGCCTGACCAACATGGTAAAACCCTGTCTCTACTAAAAATACAAAATTGGCTGGGTGTGATGGTGCATGCCTGTAATCCCAGCTATTCGGGAGGCTGAGGCAGGAGAATCACTTGAACCTGGGAGGCAGAGGTTTGCACTGAGCTGAGATTGCACCATTGCAATCCGGCCAGGGCAACAACAGTGAAACACCATCTCAAAAAAAAAACAAAAAAACGAAAAACAACAAAACAGTCTGTGGCTGGGACAGCGCTGTTAAAAAAAGTAATTATTAGGCTGGGCATGATGGCTGTCGCGTGTAATCCCAGCACTTGTGGGGCCAGGACAGGCAGATCAGTTCAGGAGTTTGAGACCAGCCTGGCCAACTTGGTGAAACCCCGTCTCTACTAAAAATACAAAAATTAGCTGGGTGTGGTGGTGTACACTTGTAATTCCAGCTACTCGGGAGGCTGAGGCAGGAGAATCGCTGGAACCCGGGAGATAGAGGTTGCAGTCAGTCTAGATCACAGCACTGCACTCCAGTCTGGGCGAGAAGAGTGAGACTGTCTCCCTGCTGCCCCCACCTTCCCCCCAAAAGTAATTATCATCAGGTTTGAGTATGTTAAATCAGGGATGCATCTTAGAGGAGGTAAATACTATGTTTACTTTTTAGAGGAAATGAATTTTTGAGTGGGGAAGATGGGAATGTCTTCTTCAAGATTTATTGTGGGCAGCAGGAATTTAAATCTTCATAATTTGTTTATGTACTTTTACTTTGATTTATGAAGTAGGAGAGACAGAAGACTGGGAGATGGCACAGGGCAGTGGTTCTCAACCTTTGTTCATTTAGAATCATCAGGGGAAATTTTAAGAAAATACCTCGCTTGGGCCCCAGTATTCTGACTTAAGTGGCCTGGAGTGCAGCCCAGGCATACTGTTTTTTTTTTCTTCTTCTTCTCAGAAGTGTGCCAGCTGGTTCTAATGTGCAGTTAGGTTTAGGAGTTCAAACTCCCTGGCTGGGCATGGTGGCTCATGCCTGTAATCCCAGCACTTTGGGAGGCCGAGGTGGATGGATCTCAAGGTCAGGAATTCGAGACCAGCCTAGCCAACATGGTGGAACCTTGTCTCTACTAAACGTAGAAAAAATTAGCCAGGCGTGGTGGTGTGCCCCTGTAATCCCAGCTACTCAGGAGGCTGAGGCAGAAGAATCGCTTGAACCCAGGCGGCAGAGGTTGCAGTGAGCTGAAATCACACCATTGCACTCCAGCCTAGGTGACATAGCGAGACTTTGTCCCCCACACCAAATAAATAAATAAATAAATAAAAAATAAAACAGGAGTTCAAACTCTCTAACTCCCTAGACTTTAGAGAAGTTTGTTTAGTGTGTCTGGGATAAATGAGAGCTTCCCGCCCCTGTCCCCTTTTGAAACGGAGTCTCACTCTGTCTCCCAGGCTGGAGTGCAGTGGTGTGATCTCAGCTCACTTCAACGTCTTCCTCCTGGGTTCAAGTGATTCTCTTTCATCAGCCTCCTTAGCAGCTGGGATTACAGGTGTGTACCACCATGCCCAGCTAATTTTAGTACTTTTAATAGAGACAAGGTTTCACCATGTTGGCCAGGCTGGTCTGGAACACCTGACCTCAAGTGACCTGTCCTCCTTGGCCTCCCAAAGTGCTGGGATTACAGGTGTGAGCCACTGTGTCATTATGGCATTAATTACCTCTTGATATACTATAGTAATTAATGCCATAAGGAAAATTACAGCTGATATGAGGATGATGGTATATTAAATTTGTGCTTTTAGGTAGTCTTGGGAAGGCCTCTTTGAGGTGGTGTTTGAGTAAAGATCTGCATGATGCAAGATAGCATCAGTACAGATATCCAGGGGACATTTCTGTTTGTCTGTTATATAATAGACAAAAACAGCTAGATAGATTTTCATATTTGGATGGAATTCGAGTTGGGCTGACTTAAAATGTAGGCTCTATAAGGAGTGATGAAGATGTCTGTGTGACTACCATTCAGGAGATATCTGGCATCTATATTAAACAGAAAACAGTAATTTCAAATATGAGCTCTAAATAGAAATTCGCAAGGGCACATGTTCCAAACCGTAGGATTATTATATTGATTAGTAGCTGAGTTGCTTCTCACATTGGCACCTTTGTGCAGCAGTAGCAATTGATTTTTTTTTTTTTTTTTGAGATGTAGTCTGGCTCTGTTGCTCAGGCTGGAGTGCAGTAGTGTGATCTCGGCTCACTACACCCTCCGCCTCCCGGGTTCAAGCGTTTCTTCTGCTTCAGCCTCCCGAGTAGCTGGGACTACAGGCACACACCACCACGCCCGGCTAATTTTTGTGTTTTTGGTAGAGACAGGGTTTCACCTTATTGGCCAGGCTGGTCTCGAACTCCTGACCTCAAGTGATCCGCCCACCTCAGCTTCCCAAAGTGCTGGGATTACGGGCATGAGCCATCTCGCCCGGCGCCATTGATTTACAGACGGTTAAGGGTTCTCTTGCCCAACATCAGTTGGGGAAGTTAGTCTTCAAATTTTACTTAACTATAGCCAGTTTAGCCAGGTTGCACACCTGTAGTCCTAGCTGCTTGGGAGACTGAGGTGAGAAGATTGCTTGAGACCAGGAGTTCCAGGTTAGCCTGGGCAACATAGTGAGACCCTGTCTCTTAAAAAAAAAAAAAAAAAAAATATATATATATATATATATATATATATATATATATATATGTATGTATGTATGTGTGTGTATATATATGCATATATGTATGTATATATATGTATGTATATATATGTGTGTATGTATACACACACACACACACACACAGCACGCACGGGTGTGCCAAGTTCAGCATCCTAAAGGAATAATATAACTTATGTGTCCCAAGACGTTGAGAGATATAACTGTGATAAATTGAACAATGTATATGAAGAAACCCCACAGCAAGTATCTTACACGGAGTAGTAGGTCTTTAGAGATTGAGCCCTCTCCATGATAAATTTTTCGTGGTGATTATATTTTCAAAACAAATGATGTCAGATACTAAAGATTATAGCAAAGTAAGTGGTCTGATGACACTTTTGGTTAATGTGAATGAAGAGAATCATAACTTGGAACTCTTAATTCCAGTAATTTTGTATCTTTTGGAGAACCTCTTCTGTGCTTAAGTAGATGTTGGTTCTCTTGCCTGAAACAACACTGTCCCTGCATTGTGTTTTATGTTGTATTTTATCATGTGTTACCCCTTTCTTTGTGGTGCAGTCACTGACCTTTCCCAAACTTGTTTTGCAGTGAGTTCTGCTTCATAGGAATACTCATTTTGGCTTTTAATACTATAGTGTTACTAACATTTTTTCTCTTATTAAATGATTTCATTTTTGGTTAATTATATCAAAAGCTTTGTGAGAACCTTACATTAATTTTGTACCTTCTTTTTAAAAAATTTTAAAAATTCTTGTGGGTACATAGTAGGTGTATATATTTTTGGGTTACAGGAGATGTTCTGATACAGGCTTGTATCTTCTTTATTGACTTTGAATGATCTTTGCATATAGTACCTTTTAATAGGCTATTTTAAAATAGCGTTGAAGTCTGATGAGATGTCAGTGGAAATGGAGTTTTACAGTGTATTGTCAGTTTGAAAAGATAATGTATTTCTTGTAACATTTTTGCAAGTTTTTTAGGGTTGTACATTATTTCTTAAAGTATTAGAATTGGTAACTAATTAAAATTTCTTTCCTTTGAAATTTTCAATTTTGCCATCCTGGGCAACATGGCAAAACCCTGTCTCTACAAAAAATACAGAAATTAGCCGGGCGTGCTGTCACACACCTGTAGTCTCAGCTACTTGGGAGGCTGAGGCGGGAGGATTGCTTGAGCCTGGGAGGCAGAGGTTGCAGTGAGTTGAGATTGCGCCATTGCACCACTCCAGCCTGGGCAACAGAGTGAGACCCTGTCTCAAAAAAAAAAAAAAAAAAAAAAAAAGGAAATTTTCAGTTTTAAAAGGGACATACCTTATAGGATGTTAGACAGACTAAGGAAAAAGTAAGTACGTATAATTTCATTACCTAGAGATGGGCATTGTTAACATTTTGGCATTTCTTTTTACTTTCTTCTATTAGTATTATTTTTTTTTGGAGACAGAGTCTCGCTCTGTTGCCCAGGCTGGAGAGCAGCGGTGCAATCTCAGCTCACTGCAACCTCTGCCTTCTGGGTTTAAGTGAGTCTCCTGCCTCAGCCTTCCGAGCAGCTGGGACTACAGGTTCATGCCGCCATGCCCGGCTAATTTTTTGTATTTTAGTAGAGACAAAATACAGGGGTTTCACTGTGTTACCCAGGCTGCTCTCAAACTCCTGAGCTCAGGCAATCCGCCCGCCTCGGCCTCCCAAAGTGCTGGGATTACAGGCATGAGCTACCATGCCTGGCCTCTTCTATTGTTTAATATATTTTTATAGAATTTGGATCATAGTGATGTGTTATGAACTACCCCCTCCTTAGTTAATAGCATAGTTAATAGGCTATTGCTCCATGTGTACATGTTTATTCTTTTTTTGTTTGTTTGTGTTTTGAGACAGAGTCTCACTCCGTCACCCAGGCTAGAGTGCAATGGCGCGATCTCGGCTCACTGCAACCTCCACCTCCCTGGTTCCAGTGATTCTTCTGCCTCAGCCTCCTGAGTAGCTGGGATTACAGGTGCCTGCCACCGTGCCCAGTTATTTTTGTATTTTTAGTAGAGACAGGGTTTCACCAGGTTGGCCAGGCTGGTCTCGAACTCCTGACCTCAAGTGATCCGCCCGCCTCGGCCTCTTGAAGTGCTGGGATTACAGGTGTGAAGGCATTGCGCTTGGGTGTGTTTTTTCCTTTACAATATCATTTAAAAATTTTTATTTTTTATAGAATATAAAGTAAAGTTGTCTATTTTTTGTGTACTTGTCATACAGGTACACACATGCATAGATTGATGTAACCCACCATCACAGTCAGGATACAGACCAGTTTCAACACCTGAAAAAATTCCCTGTGGTATCACTTTGTAGTCACATCTTCCCTTTACCACTAATCTTTTGGGACCACTGATCTGTTCTCCATACTATGGAGTTTTGTGTTTTCTACATTGTTACTGAAATGTAATCATTCAGTATGTAACCTGTTGATGCTAGCTGCTTGCACTTAGCATGATGCCCTTGAGATTCTGTCAAGTTTTTGCATGTATTAATATTTCATTCCTTTTTTATTACTGAATAGTATTCCATCGTATTGATGCATCATTATTTGTTTTGCCAGTCACTCTTTGAAATATGTTTGGGGCTGGGTGTGGTGGCTTATTCTGTAATCCCAGCACTTAGGGAGGCTGAGGTGGGCACATCACTTGAGACCAGGTTGGGCAACATGGCAAAACTTTGTATCTACAAAAAATACTAAAAATTAGCCAGACATCATGGTGTGCGCCTGTAGTCCCAGCTACTTGGGAGGCTAAGATGGGAGGATTACCTGAGCCCTGGAGGTCAAAGCTGTGGTGAGCAGTGATTTCGCCACTATATTCCAGCCTGAGTGACATAGTGAGACCTTGTCTCAAAAAAAGACAAAGAGAAAGAAAAAAAAACATTTGGGTGTTTTCAATGTTTGATGATTATAAATAGAGCGACTATAAACTTCTGAGTATAGATTTTTGTGTGAACATAAGCTTTTATGTCTCCAGGGTAAATACACAGAAGTGGGATTACAGGGCCATTTGGTAAGTTTGTGTTTAACTTTGTAAGAAACTGTCAAACCAGTGTGGCTGTACCATTTGTATTTCCTTTAGAAATGTATGAGAGTTCCAGTTGTTCTGCATCCTTGCCAGAACTTCATACTATCTTTATATTGTTAAGATATCTATACTGCCCCAAACAATTTGCAGACTCATTGCAATTTGCAGACTCATTGCAATTCCTATCAAAATCCCAGTAACTTTTTTCTATTTCTGCAGGAAAAAAAAAAAATCTGTTCTAAAATTCATATAGAATCTCAAGGGACCCTAAATAGTTCAACATAATCTTGACAAAGAACAGAGTTGGAAGATTAACACTTGATTTCAAAATTTAGTATGAAGCTACAGTAATCAATATAGCAAAGTACCAGCATAAAGATGGACATATAGACTGAAGGAATATAGAGCCGAGAAATAAACTATTGCATATATGGTCAAATGATTTTCAGCAAGGAGGCCAAGACCATTCATTGGGGGAAGCGACAATCTTTTCAACAAATGTTGCTGGGAAGACTGGATACTCACGTGCAAAAAGTATAAAGTTGGACTTTAACACCATATACAAAATACAACAACGGAGAATAAGTGTTGGTGAGGATGTGGAGAAATTGGCACTCTTGTGCACTGCTGGTGGGAATATAAAATGGTGCAGCCATTATGGGAGATGGTGGAGTTTCCTCAGAAAATTAAGGAAAAAATAGAATTACCATATGATCGCTGTTCTGTTTCTGGGTGTGTACCTCAAAGAATTGAAAGCAGGGAATCAAGGAGATATTTGTACACCAGTGTTCATAGCAGCACTCTTCGAAATAGCCAAAAGGCAGAAGCAACCTAAGTGTCTGTCCATTGATAGTTGAATGGATAAAAGGAAGGAAATTCTGACATAGGCTCTAATGTGGAGGAACCTTCAGGACATTATGCTAAGGGAAATAAGCCAGTCACAAAAGGAAAAATACTGTATGATTCCTTCCATTCATGTGAGATATTTAGAGTAGTCGAATTCATGAAGACAGAAAGTAGCAAAGTGGTTGCCAGGCTTTGGGGAGAGGGGATAAAAGTCAGTTACTGTTTAAAGCGTACAGAGTTTCCCTTTATCCTGATGGATAAACAACAGCATGAATATACTCAATACCACTCAACTGTACACTTAAATGATAAAATGGTAAATTTTATGTTTATTTTACCACAATTAAAAAAACTACATAATTGAAAAAAATCCAATGGCCATGTTTATATAGTCATATCTCTTGACTCTATTTTGTTCCATTGAGCTATATGTCTGTCCTTTGCCAGTACCACACTTTCTTGTGGTACTGCCTTTTCAAATACATTTCAGTCAGTTTATTTATATGGTGCAATCATAGCTCACTGTAGCCTTGAACTCCTGGGCTCAAGTGATCCTCCCACCTCAGTGTCCGAGTAGCTAGAACCACAGGTGTGTGCCACTACACCTGGCTAAATTTTTTTAATTTTTTTTTTTTTTTTGTGACGGAGTCTCACTCTGTCGCCCAGGCTGGAGTGCAGTGGCGTGATCTTGGCTCACTGCAAGCTCCGCCTCCCAGGTTCACGCCATTCTCCTGCCTCAGCCTCCCGAGTAGCTGGGACTACAGGCGCCCGCCACCACGCCCGGCTAATTTTTTGTATTTTTAGTAGAGACGGGGTTTCACTGTGTTAGCCAGGATGGTCTCGATCTCCTGACCTTGTGATCCACCTGCCTCGGCCTCCCAAAGTGCTGGGATTACAGGCGTGAGCCACCGCGCCCGGCAATTTTTTTAATTTTTAAATTAAGATAGATACGGGGTCTGTCTCAGGCTGGTCTCAAACTCCTGGCTCAAGCGATCCTTCCGTGTAGGCCTCCCTAAGTGTTGTATTATGGGTGTGAGCCACCATGCTGACGCCACCTGGGATTTTGATTGAAATTCCGTTAAATCTGTAGATCCATTTGGGGAGTGTTGAGGTTTTTACCAGATTGACTTGTTCAGTCCATGAACATGGTATTATTTAGGCTTTTGATTTGTGTAATCAGCCTTTTATACTTTTCAGCATACATATACACCTTTTGTGTATATGTATGTCTAAGTATGTTTTAGAGCTATTGTAAACTGGTATTTTAAAAATAAATTTTGGTTTTAGATTAATCAGTGCTCGTATAGAAAAGTATGATTGATTTTTATCTACACGGGTAATCATTTCTGTAAAAAGGGACAGTTTTATTTCTTTTTGATTTGTTTGCCTTTTATATCCTGATTTTTTAGTGCAGTGACTAGATCTTTTAGTATAGTATTGAATAGGAATGGTAAGAGCATACATCCTTGTCTTGTTCCTGATCTGTATGGGAAAGTATTCAGTCTTTTACCAATAAGTATGTTGACATGCCAGGCACAGTGGTGTGCTCCTGTAGTCCTAGCCACTCAGGAGGATGGCTTGAGCCCCAGGCGTTGCCCTGGGCAACGTAACGAGACCCTGTCTCTAAAAAAACAAACAAACAAAAAAAACCCCCAAAAAACTCCAGACCTTGTGATCCGCCCACCTCGGCCTCCCAAAGTGCTGAGATTACAGGCATGAGCCACCATGCCAGGCCGAAAAAGCCAAATTGCTTGATACGTACCATAGACTGAGGTCTCCAGCTGTGGTTGCGTGCCATTTCAGGCACAGGATTCATTTTGTAAACAGATGACATACATTTACCGTATTGATAAGTGCAATATAGTGCCGTAAATGTATTTTCTTTCTCTCTCTTTTTTTTTTTTTTTGCAATTCAGCTTTTTATTGTAATCATATGACTTGTCCCTGCCTTTTGGGAACACTTCGAGCATCACTAGTGTTACCTTTTATGGGTTTCATAGTGTTATTCAGGGTTTATGGTATTGCACTAAACCCGATGAAAATACATGAGATGGCCGGGCGCAGTGGCTCACGCCTATAATCCCGGCTCTTTGGGAGGCCCAGGCGGGCAGATCAGGAGGTCAGGAGATCGAGACCATCCTGGCTAATACGGTGAAACCCCATCTTTGCTAAAAATACAAAAAAATTAGCCGGGTGAGGTGGCAGGCATCTGTAGTCCCAGCTACTCGGGAGGCTGAGGCAGGAGAATGGCATGAACCCGGGAGGCAGAGCTTGCAGTGAGCCGAGATCATGCCACTGCACTCCAGCCTGGGGGACAGGGCAAGACTCGGTCTCAAAAAAAAAAAAAAAAAAGGAAAATACATGAGAATCAGGAGAGATCACTTTTTACTGCGATTACCAATTAACAATTGAGAGATGAACTGCTCACCTGGATATGATTAGGGTCACATGGTGGTACTCATAACACTTGAACTCACTGCAATAGGAACAAAATTATCACAGTTTTATAATATGTACTACAGCTAATTTTATTTAGTTATGATTTAATACTGTATTTTTTACATTTGTTTACATTTTTCTTGACTGGTGCCATGTACTATTTGTGTGCGTAAGTTTTGATAATTTTAACTTTATAGTAGATTTGTGTATATTTTATGTCAGTAAATGATCAAATAGACTAATATCTACATATATTTTATGCATCAGTGACATACTGTTTTCTTAATTTTTTAGATATTTCTAGGCTACGTGTTTTGTCTACATGTTTTTTAAATTGTCACAAATCTCTGAAATTTTTTTCAATGTATGAATTGGAAAAAAATTTATGTATGAGTGGTCTCATGCTGTTCAAACTTGTATGGTTCGAGGGTTAGCTGGGTTTTCTTCTTATGCATACCTGTAATAAAGTTTAATTTAAAATGTAGGCATAGTGACAGATTAACAACTAATAATAAAATAGAACAATTACAATATATTAGGAGTTATGTGAATGTGGTCTCTCAGAATATCTTATGTACTGTACTTTTGGACCTTTGATTGAAAATATCTTATTGTACCATACTTACCTGTTTTTGGGCTTCTATTGACTGGGTAACTGAAACTGCACAAAGTGAAACTGCAGATAAGGAGGGGCACTGCTGTATCTAATAACTGTCCATGCTGTCTTTATGCTTATTGAGTTTTGCAAAAAATGACATCCAATAATTCATTTTTAAAAGTTTTGTTTTTGAACACTTTCATTTTGCACTTACAGAAAAATTGCAAGAATAGAATGTTACAAAGAACTTCCCTATATACCCTTTACCCAGCTCTACTAGTTTTAAACATTTTACTACATTTGCTTATTATTCCCTTAATATATATGTGTGTGTGTGTGTGTGTGTGTGTGTGTGTGTGTGTATACACATCATATTTTATTCTACTTGAGAGTTGGTTGCATATATCATGCTCATTTTCCCTATACTGTTGCTGTGTTTATTTCTCAGAACAATGATGTTCTTTTATAATAGCAATTTGGTTGTCAAATTTTAGTAATTTCACATTGATACTTTTATCTAATTTATGGTACATATTTGAATTTAATCCAGTTGGCCCAATAATGTTCTTTAGAGAAGTTTTTTCCAGTTTAAGATCCAATTCAGGATAATATATTGTGTTTAGTCACTATGTAAACATTTATTTTTAATAGACCATTGGCCTGAAAATCTTAAGTGTTGAATTTTTGTTCTTTTAACAGCTAAACCAGGTGGACAGGTGAAATGTCAGTATATCTCTGCTGTGGATAAAGTTATATTTGTGGATGATTATGCAGTAGGGTGTAGGAAGGACCTTAATGGAATCTTGTTGTTAGACACTGCTCTGCAAACTCCAGTTTCAAAGCAGGATGATGTGGTTCAGCTTGAATTACCCGTTACAGAGGTAAGTTGAAATAAGTATCAATGTGGTCCTCTACTTAATGTAATCTTAGACATATTAGATGTTAAATGAAATTAAGTCATCCTTTAAGGACGTTATTATATATATTGCTATAAAAACAATTTACTTATTGACCACAACTTCATTTAAATATTAATACTCACCTTTTCTCTGCATAATTAATTCTTGTTGAAGTGGTGTTTTTAGGTGTGAATGGTGCATCAGCACAGGTTAAACAGCTGTAACCGAGACCCAAAAAAACAATGGCTTAAACAGGATAGCTTGTTTCCAATAATAGTCCAGGGCTAAGTGTATGGCCATCATTGCCAACCTCAACACTTGGGTTAGCTTGGGAGTTTAAGACAGCTGCTCTAGGTGTCATTATTTCCCAGTCACAGGGAAAGAGAGGGCAAGAGGCTAGAGGAGAGCACTCTGGCATCTCTCTCTTCTCTCCTTCCCTTTCCCTGTCCCTTAACCCCCAGCCCCCTCTCCTACTCATTTGTTCTTGTTCTCTTTCTGCCTTTCACAACTCAAATACTCTCTCATATAGCCTCATATTTACCCCATTAGACAGAATTTAGTCACATGACCACACCAAGCTGAGAGGGAGACTGGGAAAGAGGTGGTTCTTTCTTTCTTTTTTTTAATATTTTAAAATGAGAGAGGAATAGACTCTGGTAAAACAGCAGTAATTTTTTTTTTTTTCTTTGAGTCAGAGTCTTGCTCTGTCACCCAGGCAGGAGTGCAGTGGCTTGACCTTGGCTCACTGCAACCTTCATCTCCCGGGTTCAAGTGATTCTCTTGCCTCAGCCTCCCTAGTAGCTGGGATTACAGGCATGCACCACCACACCCAGCTAATTTTTGTATTTTTAGTAGAGACGGGTTTCACCATGTTGGCCAGACTGGTCTTGAGCTCCTGACTTCAATTGATCCGCCCGCCTCAGCCTCCCAAAGTGCTGGGATTATAGGCGTGAGCCACCGCACCCAGCCACACAACCAGTAATTTTTGCTATGCATCATGTCTTTCAATAACTTGAGTTTTAAGTTTTAGCCATATATACTTTTCTGTAGTGTTAAATTTTCTTTACTTAATTTTTAAGTCTAGCCCAACTTAAATTCTTTTGTGTGGCTTCATATCCTGCAGTTTGAAAGTACATTTTTCATAATTACTGGATTTTGCATCACCTTAAATAGAATGTAAAAGATTATGTTGTGTTCTATAATAAAGTGAGATATTATTTGTGTTCATGCTAACTTGTTATGAAAGTTATCAAAAAAGTATGTCCAATAAAGTATATTCACTTAGATTTTACATTTAGTGTCATATAACAGTAGTCTATTATATGTTAATATTGAAAGCATGTTGCTGAAAGTTTGAGTTCCAAAAACAGAGAAGCTGTCTTTTTCTCATCAGAGTATTTGGGTCTGGAGGCATGTCTAAAATCTTTGGATAGAGAATTAATTAGTTCTACTTGATTTGAACAAGTAGAAACTTTGAAAAACCATTTGAAAAAATTGAACATTTTTCCCTAATTTAAGGAATATAAACCAGCTGATATCAGGATATATAATCAGCAGCAAAAAAACACTATCAAACTATGTTTAGGTTTAACAAACAATTAAAGAATTACAATAAAATACTTGAACACTTATTAACTCTCAAGTCAGTGTTTTTCCTACTACAGTGAAATGCTGTTTAGCTTCTATCCCTTCCTCCACCTAGTTTACTGTTAAATCTACTGTTTTTTTTCTCTTTGTACTTTAATCACAGCTGTAACTGTTGTTCAGATAATATTGTTTGTAGATCTTCCAGCATTCCAGGCTTCCTTTACTGCATCAGATTAGTTTGTCACTGTCTTCCCTAAAGTCTTAGGTTTGATTTGCTCAGTGTAGATATATTCTTTTCCTTATATTAGCATATATCTTTATTACAGTAGTTCATATTGAATATGTGGATAACAATGCAAAGGGCTTTTTCATATTACTTGCTGACTTAGTGTCCTCTATTATGACTTTATATAGCTTGAGTATTTAAAGCTCATTGGAGGACTTTAAGTTTGTCTCTTCAGATTTTTTCCTGTATTATTTTTGCTTATGGTTTCAGCTTGTCCATTTTTCTATCTTGATTTGGTTTACAATAACTACTTTGTGTTTAAACTTTACCATGTAGTATTTCTACACTGAATACATTGCTTTATCTCATTTAATTTTATAATAGCCCTTTAAATTATTGTTTAATTAAGTAGATTTGTTAAAAGGTAAGTTTAGTATAGTACCTGTCATAATCATTGCATATTAAAATATCTGAAAGAGGATCTGAATTTAATTTTTTGTTGTTCTTGTGTTGAATTTTCTGTGATTTTTTTATTTTTTATTTTTTATTTAGGCACAGCAGCTCTTATCAGCATGTTTAGAAAAGGTAGATATTTCTAGTACAGAGGGTTATGATTTGTTCATCACACAGCTCAAAGATGGTTTAAAAAATACATCTCATGAGACTGCAGCAAACCACAAAGTTGCTAAGGTAAGAAGTTAATAGATTGCCTCTTTTGGGGTTATATTACAATGGACACCTCCATTCTTTTGCACTTTCCTTTCCTCTCCTTTTGGAAATGTTCTAATTCTAGATTTTTCTTTTAAAAAGCAGAATGTGCTTATAAGTCATCTTAAAGTTGAAACTGGCTGGGCACGGTGGCTCACACCTGTAATCCCAGCTGAGGGAGGCTGAGGCGGGCAGATCACCTGAGGTCAGGAGTTTGAGACCAGCCTGGCCAACATGGCGAAACCCCATCTCTATTAAAAATACTAAAATTAGCCAGGCGTGGTGGCAGGCGCCTGTAATCCCAGCTACTTGGAGGCTGAGACATGAGAATCACTTGAACCCAGGAGGCGGAGTTAGCTGAGATTGCAGAGATTGCGCCACTGCACTACAGCCTGGGGGAAAGAGTGAGACTCTGTTGCCCAAAAAAAAAGAAAAAAGTTGAAACTTTGAAACTTCTTAATCGAAGCTTAACTTCAGTTTGTGGGAACTATTTTGCTTATTGTGTTTTCTGATGCTTCCTTAAATCTTTCTTAGTGCCTGATGGACCTGGATTGGTCAAGAGGCTGATGAAAGAAGCTTCCTTGTTAGGTTGTGAGCTTGGATGCTTGGATAAGAATGGACTATGTCTTTGGAAATTGAGCCATTTTGTGCTTTCTCTGAAATTTTTTGGCATACTGGGATGTATATGAGAGACAGTGCTTTCAATTAAATCCTTGGGTATATTTTTATTAATTTCCTCCAGATTTTTCTTTTAAGGCCTTTTCTAAGTTATACTGCATATCAAACTTCCCTGTTATTGAAGGATATAAGGTAGAAGGTAAAAGCCATTTTCCTATAAGTAACTTGGGCATTTGCAAAGATTTTTCTCAAGTGCAGTTGTAACTATACTAAAATATACTAATATTGTGTTATGATATACCTTGCTTTTTTTCTTTTATTTTTTCTTTTGAGACAGAGTTTTGCTCTTGTTTCCCAGGCTGCAGCGCAATGGCACAATCTCGGCTCACTGCAACCTCTGCCTCCCGGGTTCAAGTGATTCTCCTGCCTCAGTCTCCTGAGTAGCTGGGATTACAGGCGTGCGCCACCACGCCTGGCAAATTTTGTATTTTTTAGTAGAGACAGGGTTTCGCCATGTTGGTCAGGCAGGTGGCGAACTCCCGACCTCAGGTGATCTGCCTGCCTTGGCCTCCTAGAGTGCTGGGATTACAGGTGTGAACCACTGCACCTGGCTCTTTTTTTTTTTTTTTTTTGGTTCGAGACAGAGTCTCACTCTGTAACCTAGGCTGGAGTGCAGTGGTGTGATCTTATCTCACTGCAACCTCCGCCTCGTGGATTCAAGCTATTCTCCTGCCTCAGCCTCCCGAGTAGCTGGGATTATAGGCACACGCCACCATGCCTGGCTAATTTTTGTATTTTTAGTAGAAATTGGGTTTCACTATGTTGGCCAGGCTTGTCTTGAGCTCTTAACCTCGTGATTCACCCATCTCGGCCTCCCAAAGTGTTGGGATTACAGGTGTGAGCCACCGTGCCTGGCCACCTTGCTTTTTTTCACTCAAGAATTTGTCTTGGATATCTTCTCATATCCTCAGAGATCATCTATGTTCTTCTTAGTAGTTGCATTGAATTTTTTTTTGTAGATTTGTCATGATTGTATTATACCTTACTCTATTGATGGGGCATTTTATTTAGGAAAACAGAAACTGTCCTATGAGTTTCAACAGAGATAATTTATTGTAAGAAATTAACTGGTGTTTGAAAACTGAAAAAGTGAAAAGGAGATCCTGAGATAACAGAGATAACTATAGGAAGCAGTTTTCACCTAGGTCTGGAGGAACAAAGAGTAGAGATTAGGGGTTATCAGAACCTAGAAACTTAGAGAATAGGCCCCGTGGATCTGGGACTAGGAAGTGCTACCCAGTTGGTAACTCAGGAGCTTGGACGAGGGCGTTGCAAAACTGGGACTCAGATCTCTGAAGAGAGATGCTACTTGACTGATGGTAGTACCTCTGAGGGAACTCTATGAAACTGGATCTCGGAATGCTAAAACAACCAAACCAAAACAAAATGCTGAAGACTGGAAGAATCAACTACTGCATCATGTCCTTTGCTGAAACAGTGCTGATGGCAATGGCCAGTAAATAAGAAGGAGCAAGTCTTTCTTCATCTTTCTTTCCAGTTTCCTTCCTGTGCTGTTGCTGGGAGAACCTAAAAGCCAGGAAACTGGTTGAAAAGAGGAAATACAGTATGCAGAGTCCTAGCCCCAACCTGATAGAGCAGAGAATTAAAGGGTAGATTTGGAGCTCAGAGACAACAGTTTAATTAACTGCACAGTCTACCCCTTTGGCTACTCAGCATCTCCATTCACACTTTATATATTTGAACTTTCATATAACAAAACTATTATGCTTTTTAAAAAATTTATTTTTATTTTTGGAGATGGGGTCTTGTGCTGTTGCCCAGGCTGGAGTGCAGTGGTGCGATCTTGGCTCACTGCAACGTCCGTCTCCTGGGTTCAAGCAGTTCTCCTGCCTCAGCCTCCTGAGTAGCTGGGATTACAGATGTGCACCACCATGCCTGGCTACTTTTTGCATTTTTAATAGACATGGGGTTTCACTATGTTGGTCAGGCTGGTCTCGAACTCCTGACCTCATGATCCACCCACCTTGGCCTCCCAAAATGCTGGGGTTACAGGTGTGAGCCACCGCACGTGGCCTGGTCCTCAGTTTATTTAATTTTTTAATTTAATTTTTTTTTCTTAGACGGAGTCTGTCTCTGTCACCCAGGCTGGAGTGCAGTGGTGTGATCTCGGCTCACTGCAAGTTCCACCTCCTGGGTTCAGGTGGTTCTCCTGCCTCAGCCTCCCGAGTAGCTGCGATTACAGGCGCGTGCCACCACGCCTGGCTAACTTTTGTATTTTTAGTAGAGACGGTTTCACCATGTTGGTCAGGCTGGTCTTGAACTCCTGACCGTGTGATCTGCCCACCTTGGCCTCCCAAAGTGGTGGGATTCCAGGCGTGAGCCTAGTCCTCAGTTTATAATGGTCAAGAGGATATATTGGTCAAGAGGATGTATAATAGTCAAGAAGATATCTAATTTCTTTTTTTTGTATTACCTGTTCCTTATTAGCTCTGTCATCATTCAGCATCTCAACTGGTCAGGATTCTTTACGTACATGAACGACCCATCTTCATTCTTGAAGAATCTGAATCCTCACTGGTGCTGTGTCTTTATTTTATTTTATTTTTTGAGATGGAGTCTCACTTTGTCACCCAGGCTGGAGTGCAGTGATCTCAGCTCACTGCAACCTCCGCCTTCTGGGTTCAAGTCATTCTCCTGCCTCAGTCTCCCCAGTAGCTGGGACTATAGGCACGGGCCACCACACCTGGCTAATTTTTTGTATTTTAGTAGAGACGGGGTTTCACTGTGTTGGCCAGGCTGGTCTTGAACTCCTGACCTCAGGTGATCCAACCGTCTTGGCCTCCCAAAGTGCTGGGATTACAGGTTTGAGCCACCAAGCCCAGCTGGTGCTGTATTTTAAGTTGTAATTGTTACTTCATCTTTACTATTGGACTTGGAAGTACTAAGGGGCATCCTAGAGAATCTCTTGGGTTCTGCATAAGTTCTCCTTGCCCCTGTTACTTAGCATCAATCCAGGTTTCCGCTTGTCAGTTCCAGTCATACAAACTAGTAGAACTTCTTTGACTATTTATTCAGTGGCAAGAGGACCTCAAAGTTGCTGGGTAGCAATCTCAACACCCACTTCAATGGAAGTGTTGTTGTACCCCTGCTGGAACATTCCTCCCTTGGGAGTAAGACCTGTAGAGCTGAAAGCTTTAAAAAAAATCTGTGAATGAGTTTATTAAATATAATAGTGGGCATGCCCAGAGAAACTGTATCATACATTTTTGGTTGATTCAAAGCATATGCTTCATCTTGTAAGGTAGAACTCCATAACCTTTCAGCATGTCTCTTTCGGTTAGCGTTGAAAATGAGTCTTTAGTAGGCCATTGAGCTTTTCTGCCAGGCCAGCTTCATCAGGATGATACACAGTAAGACCAGTGGAAAAAAGATTTTTTTTTTTTTTTGCTTTGAAATACTTTTCTTGATCAGAAGCAAAGTTTTCTACAATACCATGACATTCTGTCAGTCCACAGGCAATGGACTATATAATATTACGGCAGAAAACTATGGACAGAACAGGTAAATGCATACCTAGAATATATATTTGTTATGTTGAAGACAAATTGCTGCCTAGTCCATGACTAGGAATCCCGTATAATCAACCTACTGTCAGATAGCTGGCTGTTCCCCCTGGGAAATGACGTGATATTTGCCACCCAACTTTGGTAACTGTTTGGCAGATTAGGCAATCAGCAACAGCTGTAGCCTGGTTAGTATTGGTACAGGGAAGTTTACATTTTTGGGCCTGTGCATAGCCTCCATATCTGTTGCCATGGTATTTTGCACACAAGTCCATTGAGCAAGCACTGGAGTGCCCGTGGAGAGAGGCTTACTGTCATGTATATAATGTGTATAACTTCTCCCATTTCTTCTGAAATGGATGCCTTTTGGTCTGCATTGACATATTTCATACGTATTTTTACCCTCTGAGAGTTCTATTCATAGACCTTTGTTTTTGACCTCCTTGCTGCTAGTCTTCTAGTTCTGTTTCTTCCAAGTGCCTGACCATCTAGCTAACAAATTAGCAACTCTGTTAACTAGTGAGGATCTTTACTTCTAGCCAACTCTAAATCCATACAAGAACAGTCATACATACTGACTGAAGTTCTATCTATTGAGAAGATTTACCTTCACCACTCTCCTTGTGATTGGGGCTATGATTCTGTAGCCATCCACTTCGGGGTAGTACCAGCATATCATGCAGAACCATCTGTAAATCAGGGCCAAGAGTATTTTCCCCTCATATTATTTCATCATAAGGAGTTCCCCATGAAGCTATTGATGTAGAACAAGGAGGAGACATTATAGTGGGAGTAGGTATTGAATTCTGAGCCACTTGTTTATTCAGTTTTTGCCTTTTGGACTTTGTGAAGACAGATCTTTTATAAAACACTTGATGAAGGATACTTGTTGCTGGTGCTCAATATTATGGTTGGTGTGTCAGATAACATTTGGACAGCTCTGAATTTGTAGACATTAGTTTCGTAGATAGATATTAATCTCTATCTGGGACTAGTAAGGAACTAGGAGCTGTTTTTCAAAAGGAGAATGGTTATTTGCATGAGAGGGTGTGGCTTTGCTCCAAGACCCTAGCATTCTGCTGTGTGATTGTCCCAATTAGGTTGCCACAGGCTCCTTACAGCATCATTATTTGCTGTGGACTTCTAGTGTCAGTGTCATTGAAAGTGCTCTTAAGGTAAAAGTGGCAGAGCATCTTGCAGTACAGTCTGGTCTTGTTGCAGAGTTTCTTGTTTTGCACCTTACTCAAAATTGGCAACCTTATATGTTTCTTGATACTTGGATTAGAGCACACATTCAAGTATGCTAAATATTGGCTCCCAAATCCAAGTAGGCCCACTAAGTACTGTGGCTTTTGTTTCTGTGGTTGGTGTTACAAGTTGGAGCAACTTGTCTTTCAGTCTGGAGGGAATATCCTGACATGACCAGACCTCTGGACCTCTGAAACTTAACCATGGTTGCAGAATCTTGAGTTTTTCTGGGGACTCTTATTCTCTGGTTTGCACCTTACTCAGGCATTTAATTTCCTTGCTGTTTCCTTTTCATCTGGACCAATCAGCGTGCTGTCATGATGTAGTGGACCATTATGTTGATCTGCAGGATGTTAGGATGATCAGGATTTCTAGAATGTGAGATGTGGTCTTAGGGAAAGATTGCAAAGATTTATTATTGTTCCTGCCAGGTAAAAGTGGACTTTTTGTATAGTCCTTAAAAGTAAAGATAGAAAAATATTGGATAGAACTGTAACTACCTACCAGATATCAGGGGATTTGTTGATTTGCTTTAATAAAGATACCTCATTTGGAAAAGCAGCTGCAATGGAAGTCGCCACCTGATAGTTTACCATCCACAGTCATTCTTCAAGATTCATTTACAACAGTCCAGTAAAGGGGACGAGGTCATTTGATTACCTCTGTATCTTTTAAGTCTCTCTCTCTTTTTTTTTTTTTTTCCAATACAGGGTCTTGCTCTGTCACTCAGGCTGGAGTACAGTGGTGTGATTTTGGCTTACTGTAGCCTTGCCGTCCTGGGCTCAAGTGATTTTCCCACCTCAAGGCTTCTGAGTAGCTGGGATGACAAGTGCATGCCATCACGCCTGGCTGTTATTTTTTAGTAGAGATGAGATCTTGCTATGTTGACCAGGATGGTCTCAGACGTTTAGGCTCAAACGAACCTCCATCCTCAGTCTCACAAAGTGCTAGGATTATAGGTATGAAGGCACTGTGCCCAACCTCAAATCTTTTACAGTGGCATTAATCTAAAAAATTTCTTCAGGAATGTAGCATTGCTTTAGTTTAATATCTTTGTAGAGAAGGAAAGTTCTAGGGGCTTATACTTCATGTTTTCTATATTACTGGCCCACAGAGAAGAGCAGAGAGCTAATCTGGGGATTGTTTTCAGTTGCCTGTTTTATATTATGCATTCAGGAACTGGGGAAGTAACTATTACACAATAAGGATTTACAGACCCATAGAACTCTCTGAGACAGCTTTGGGCTGAAACTTTATTAATCGCTTGACCATCCTACGTGCCCTCTTTCTTGGACCACAGTGATGTTTTAGGTCAGTTCAGTGCCATGTTTTTGTAATGCCTGAAAGATCTTTTCCCCCATGCACAGTCACTGTAGTGAATGCCCATAGGTCTTTCTGAGGGAAGGTTTGGAGTATGATTTACAGTACCAACTATAGTTGGGGTATCATAGGATCCTTTCTCAAGGGGAGTCATCCTCCCTTTCAATAAAAAGCTCTGATCTGTGAACAGATTAATTAGGTCTAGAAGTTTTCATTCTCCCTCTTTTTTTTTTTTTTTTTTTTAGCAATTCAAGTCATGTTTTTGTCTACAAGTTTTTCCAGTATTGTATAGATAAATAATAATTTACTAGGCTGCCTTGAGTATACTAGACAAGAGTAGAAACCATTCATGGGTGAACTGGGGACAGGATATAAAGATGCAATTACATTATAGACTTATTTCTCTGGGAGAATAGTACTTAGCATTTTTGTGGTCTAACTTCAGTAATTGTTGTAATATTAAATAATCATGGCTAACATTTATCGAATATTGCTGATGGCGAAGCTGGGCCCAGAATCCAGATGTGTGACTATAAGGCCTGTGTTTTTAGTTGCTATTGCTGGATTATGGTGACAACAGCAACAAAAACAATGCATCTGCTAAGCTGAACTAAATCCTCATATACCCCAGTAATGGTAATTGTCTAAATATATTCTTATGGATGGAGGTATTTGAGTGCCTACTCTGTGCTTAACATTGTACTGGATGAATAGGAAAAATGACAGATGATTTTAGTTGTCCTTAATTTTTGGTGATATATATAAGAACATGTGTTACTGTCTGGTTCTGAATTGTCTTTTCCAGAATAGTTAGTTGAGGTTTCATTTAAAAAATTAAAAAATTTTCATTGATAAATAATTGTATATATTTATGAGGTATAATGTGATGTTGTAATATATGTATACATTATAGAAAGATTAAATTAAGCTAATTAACATATCTATCAACTCACCTACTTACCATTTCTTTGTGATGAGAATGTTTAAAATCTATTCTTTTAGCAATTTTGAAATATACAATACGTGGGCCAGGCGCAGTGGCTCATGCCTGTAATCCCAGCACTTTGGGAGGCAGAGGCGGACAGATCATCAGGTCAGGAGATCAGCCTGACCAACCTGATGAAACCCCGTCTGTACTAAAAATACAAAAAAATTAGCCAGGGATGGTGGCGCATGCCTGTAATCCCAGCTACTCAAGGAGGCTGAGGCAGGAGAATCACTTGAACCCAGGAGGCAGAGGTTGCAGTGAGCCGAGATTGCACCACTGCATTCCAGCCTGGCGACAGAGTAAGACTCCGTCTCAAAAAAAAAAAAAAAAAGAAATATACAATACATGATTAGTAACTGCAGTCACCAGATCACTAAAATTAATTCCTCCTAAGCTTCCCAAAGTGTTGGGATTACAGGCGTAAGCCACTGCACCTGGCCTTTACTGCACATTTTCTTTACCCAGTCACCCATTGATGGATACTTAGATTGGTTCCATATCTTGGCTTTTGTAAAATATTTTATTTTTTTTTATAACTGCAAGTTTCTGTTTTAAATGATAAACTAATGAAGAAAACTGACTTGAAACTGATGAGTGTTCTTTATTTGATAATGGTTAAGTTATGATTTTGGTTAAAACTGTTGAGTACATTTTCCTTTGCTTATACTCCCATTTTCTTTCAGTGGGCCACAGTTACATTTCATCTTCCTCATCATGTGTTGAAGTCCATTGCCAGTGCCATTGTAAATGAACTCAAGAAAATAAATCAAAATGTTGCTGCCTTACCTGTGGCGTCCTCAGTGATGGACAGATTGTCTTACCTCTTACCTAGTGCACGTCCAGAACTCGGAGTGGGGCCAGGCCGTTCTGTAGACAGGTATGAACCTTGCTAACAAAGGTGACAGTGAGATAGAATTGATTAGTTTTTGCATTAAACAAGGAATAACTAGAAAATC
This sequence comes from Homo sapiens, assembly GCF_000001405.40. NCBI lineage: Eukaryota > Metazoa > Chordata > Mammalia > Primates > Hominidae > Homo > Homo sapiens. The sequence goes on from NC_000002.12 coordinate 32,389,023, forward strand.
TGGTTATGATTTTTAAAAATTTCACAATTTCTAGCCTAATTTTGAAATTAAAAAAAAATCAATATGAATTAGAATCTGAAAACCAGATTTAAAGTAAACTGCTACTTGAATTGCTATTTTTAAACACTATATTTTAGTACACTAAAGGTATTTGAAGGGATTATAAAGCCACATTTTGGAAATTCCAGTTTAGTACTTGCTTAGTAAATATTTTAGTCAAATTAAAATTACTATAATTATTTAATGATTAATAACTATTTTTCCATTGATGACATTTTGTGACCTTTGAGATAAATTTTGCCTAACTTACCATGCCCTAATGTGAGTATAAGGAAAGTGCTATCATTTTATAATGAAAAAAAAAAAAAGACCAGTTTAAAAAATAATAGGAATAATTTTGAGTTAACAATTTTTTATGCTGCTCGCCCTGGATTTAAACAGTATTACAAAAATCATACCTAAACCATCATTTTCTTTGGTAGAGGTTTTTTTGAATGCCTATTTTGTTTAATTAATTAAAAAACCAGTGACACATTCATTTAAATACTTAAATGATTTGCTATTTGAAATGACGATTGAGGTTCTTACAAAAAGTACCAAGGTTTAGAAATGCTGTACTGAAATATAATACGCAGCAATTTTGATTAGATTTTTGTTTGCCTTTTCATGTAGTATTTATTTATTTATTTTTGAGACGGAGTTTCACTCTTGTCGCCTAGGCTGGAGTGTAGTGGCACAATCTTGGCTCACTGCAACCTCTGCCTCCCAGATTCAAGAGATTCTCCTGCCTCAGCCTCCTGAGTAGCTGGAATTATAACCGTCCACCACCATGCATGGCTGATTTTTTTTTTTTTTTGAGATAGAGTTTCGCTCGTTGCCCAGGCTGGAGTGCAATGGCACGATCTCGGCTCACCGCAACCTCTGCCTCCCAGATTCAAGCAATTCTCCTGCCTCAGCCTCCTTGGTAGCTGGGATTACAGACATGTGCCACCATACCGGGGCTAATTTTGTATTTTTAGTAGAGACAGTGTTTCTCTGTGTTGGTCAGGCTGGTGTCGAACTCCCTACCTCAGGTGATCTACCTGCCTTGGCCTCCCAAAGTGCTGGGATTACAGGCATGAGCCATGGCACCCAGCCAAATTTTCTTTTTTTTATATTTTTGTTTTGAGATGGAGTCTCGCTCTGTTGCCCAGGCTGGAGTTCAGTGGCATGATCTTGGCTCACTGCGAGCTCCGCCTCCCATGTTCATGCCATTCTCCTGCCTCAGCCTCCCGAGTAGCTGTGACTACAGGTGCCCGCCACCATGCCCAGCTAATTTTTTGTATTTTTAGTACAGGTGGGGTTTCACCGTGTTAGCCAGGATGGTCTCGAGCTCCTGACCTTATGATCCACCCACCTTGGCCGCCCAAAGTGCTGGGATTACAGGCGTGAGCCACTGCACCCGGCATGCCTGGCTCATTTTTTGTATTTTTAGTAAAGACAGGGTTTCACCATGTTGGCCAGGCTGGTCTCGAACTCCTGACCTCAAGGTGATCTACCCGTCTTGGCCTCCTAGAGTGCTGGGATTACAGGTGTGAGCCACTGTGCCCAGCTGTAGTATTTATATTTTTACATTTTCATTGGATGTGACTTGTAATTTCCTAAGCATCTTTCTGAAGTACATTTATAAATAGTATGTGCAGATGTTATCAAAGGCACTACTGAATAAATTCATTTTAAACTTCTATTATTTTTAGTATGGCTCTTCTAGTTCAGTAGCAATATTTATTAATTTATCTTTTGGTAAACTGATTTCTGCGTAATCACTTACCCTCTTTTTGTTAGTTAAGTGATTTTGTTGTTACATATATAACTTTTATTAGTCGTATTAACAATTGGGCAGAATTTTTATATTCTGTAGTAGTAATCTCTTGGGCAACATGCAGACTATCATTTTTAATCAGATTATCTGGTGATATGTGCTATGGCTGTCATTAAAATATTCTTTGGGATATGCCTGAGATGGGAAAAAAGAAAAATACGTAATTAGAACAAGTGCTTCTTGTCTGAGATCTATGCCTATTTTGAGATTATAAAAGAGTCAGCTCTGCAGAGCTATTTTCTTTGCAAACAGTTGCAGTGTTTCTAAAGAAATCAGTGCAAGCTGTGGTAAATGTTATATTTTAGGAAATGCAGCCATTAGATGGGATATTCAGTATTTTTAGAGGTGTTAAAAATGTCCTAAAATATTAATTTTGATACAGACTGTGGTGTTTTTTTCATTAAAAATCAATCTAGGAGCCTCTGAAGGCTTTGATGAACTTAGGTCTGTGGAAGGTTTGAGTTAGGGTCTATTGGATGCTACTGCTGTTTTATTGGGTAATATAACGAAATGAGATAGGTCTTCTGTTCTAAGACTGATCCTAAAGACACATATAATGTGAAACTGAGAATGCATTTCTAACCAAACAGCTATTTGTTTAAAAACCTGAATACAACTACGAGTAAACCTAAAGTTACTAGCAATTTTATAGAAAATCATGTGCTAATTTAAGGGAAGAATTTAGAAGAGTATTTTCCTGTTTTCTTTGTCATGACCTTTACCACTTTTTCTTTCTGTTATCAGTTGTAATTTTATGTTAGGATGAATAAGCTTTGCTTATCAATCCTTTCTTACTAAAAATCTTTTGGACTTCTCAAAAAGTTTACTATCGTCCTTTAAAAAATTACTCTGGTACTTTCTGTTATAGTTTGACTCTTAGTGAGCTGATATATTTTAATATGAAAACATATGTAATCTACCCCTGGAGTTGTTTATCAACTGCAGCCACCAATCAGGTTTTCTCCTTCCCTTTCTGTTTAAGGGAAATTCCCAAAAATTACCGTTTTTAGTTTAAAGTAAAAAATTGAACTTGTTCATCAGACCATTTGCAGTTTTTGCTGATAACCCAGTAAAATTATTTTTTGCATTGTTAAATAGAAGTTTCACTGTGATTTGATGCCTAACTTCAATTACATAAAGTATGTTTACTTTTAGATCACTGATGTATAGTGAAGCTAACAGACGGGAGACATTTACCTCATGGCCTCATGTAGGCTATAGGTGGGCACAACCAGATCCCATGGCTCAAGCTGGATTTTATCATCAGGTAAAAAAAGAATATAAAAAAATACTTTTCTCAGTAGGCCTTTGTAGCCCTCAGCAAAATTATCACATTTTTTTAACTTTTTCAGAAACTTATTTTGTGCACCTTGTATGCTTGCTTGTATGCATGGATGCTTGTTTTTTTGGCCCAGGCTGGAGTGCAGCGCCACAATGTTGGCTCAACTGCAACCTCCGCCTCTCAGGTTCAAGTGATTCCTGTGCCTCAGCCTCCTTGAGTAGCTGGGAATACAGGTGTGCACCATCACACCTGGCTAATTTTTGTATTTTTAGTAGAGATGGGGTTTCACCATGTTGCCAAGGCTGGTCTCAAACTCCTGACCTCAGGTGATCTGCCTGCCTCGGCCTCCCAAAGTGCTGGGATTACAGGCATGCCAGGCCAGGAAAAAAATTGTTTAAGCAATTAACAACTGAGTATTTTCTTTAAGATTAGATACAACTTTTTTAAAAAACAATTATTTTTATTTTTTGTCTTTGAGACAGGGTCTCACTCTGTTGCCCACGCTGGAGTACAGTGGCCCTATCACCACTCACTTCAGTCTCAACCTTCCCAGGCACAGGTGATCCGCCCACCTCAGCCTCCCTGAGTAGCTGAGACTACAGGTGTGTGCCACTGGGCCTGGCTAACTTTTGCACCAACCTAATTTTTTTTTTTTTTGGTAGACACAGGGTTTCTGGTGTTGCCCAGACTGGTCTCGAACTCCTGCTCAAGTGATCTACGCACCTCATCCTCCCCAAAGTGTTGGGATTATAAGTGTGAGACACTGTGCTAGGCCATAATTTTTTTTATAAAATCAACAAATAGTATTCTTCAGATTTGGTTTCTGACAAGTATTCTCTTTTGATGCATGTTTATTTCCAGTGTTTGACATCTGCATTCATAACACAGTAGTAGATGCTTAGGGTAATGCAATAAAAGCAGTTTTACAGTTTCGAAATTCTCATTTTAGTTGGGATACAAATTACCCATATACTAGATAACTACAGAAGCAGCATTACAGGTAGTGCATTGCAACTTGAATATCTGTGCATTAAAGAACTGATTAAGTTGCATAGGTAGAGGAAGAATTAGTCAAGAAAAACAGTCATAGTTTTGTGTAGGAAAAGAGGAGAGTATAAAGTGTAAGGATTAACACGATACAGAGGCATAAGAATGGGACATTATAAAAAGCTTTGCTGAATTAGAGGGAAGTTAAGAAAAATGATTTTAGCTAGATGTAATATGTTATTTAATAGGAAACTTAAACTGAGTGGTATAGAGTGGCTTACCACTGTTACCACTGCTAAAAGAATCTAAGAAATCTAATACTTATATGTCAGTTTAAATAAAGCATGGTTATTTAACTTTATTTATTTATTTATTTGGGACAGGGTCTTGCTCTGTCAACCCAAGTTGGAGTGCAGTGGCATGATCACAGCTCACTGTGCCACAGCTCACTGCAGCCTCAGCTTCCAAACAATTCTCCCACCTTAGCCCCTCAAGTAGCTGGGATTACAGGCATGTGCCACCATTCCCAGCTAATTCTGTTTATTTTTTGTAGAGATGAGATTTCACTGTGTTGCCCAGGCTGGTTTCAAACTTCTGGGCTCAGGCAGTTTGCCTGCCTTAACCTTCTAAAGTATTGTGATTACAGGTGTAAGCCACTGCGCCTGGCCTAATTTAAGAATTCAAGTACATTTTGAAGTACGTTAAAGTAACTGTCATTTAGAATCTGAAGATTGATTATTCCTTCGTTATCTTCAAGTATTCTGAACATCTTTACTAAAATTAAACCAGAAAACTATATATATATATATATATATATGAATATTTTATTCAAAGTTTGTCAGATTTCCTGTTACAGATAGGTAAGTTTGGAGACTGGCTAATATTAGAATCAGTGAAATAATTTCTCTAAATTAAGGATTGAACATGGACCATTTTTCTAGCAACTTGTCTTTCTTTTAATTTGGTGTAATTTTCTAAGAGTCTCTGTTAAGTGATGCCTTGATTTTTTTTTTTTCTTTCTGTTGAGTTATTGTTCATTATATTCTGTCTTTGCAGAGAGGTCAAATAATAGGTTTCCTAGAATACTCTGATTCTAGGAAATGTTAGGGGCTGATTATTTTAATCTTCTAAAATGTATAGTAAATTTGCATCTATAACGTAAATGTTCACAAATATTAATATTAGTTTTCAGGTATATTTCAGTTCAGGTTTTGAAAATATATACATATATATATAAATTGTGCCTGGCCCTTGAATTGAAATATATATAGCATTTTGTCCTATGTTGTATGAATTAGATTCCATATTATGTGAATTAGATTGACTACTTTGCTTTCCCTTTTTACTTGCCCTTCTTGTTCAGTTGTATGTGATTGAGTATTTAATAATAAACCCATTGGCTGGTGCAGTGGCTCACACTTGTAATCCCAGCACTTAGGGAGGCCAAGGCAGGAGGATCGCTTAAGCCCAGGAATTTGAGACCAGCCTGGATGCTGTAAGGAGACCATGTCTCTACAAAAAAAATAACAGAATTAGCTGGGTGTCATGAAACACTTCTGTAGTTCCAGCTGGGGGGCTGAGGTTGGAGGATCACTTGTGCCCACGAGTTCAGGGCTATAGTCAGCTATGATTGTGCCATTGCACTCCAGTCTGAGACTCTGTCTCTTTAAAAGAGAAAGTTTTAAAGAGACTCTGTCTCTTTAAAAAAACAACAAGAGGCTGGGTGCAGGGCTCACGCCTGTAATTCCAGCACTCTGGGAGGCTGAGAGGGGTGGATCACAGGATCAGGAGATTGAGACCATCCTGGCTAACACGGTGAAACCCCATCTCTACTAAAAATACAAAAAAAATTAGCTGGGCGTGGTGGCAGGCGCCTGTAGTCCCAGCCACTCGGGAGGCTGAGGCAGGATAATCGCTTGAACCCGGGGAGGTGGAGCTTGCAGTGAGCCGAGATTGCGCCACTGCACTCCAGCCTGGGTGACAGAGCGAGACTCAGTCTCAAAAACAGCAACAACGACAACAACAGAAACAAATAGTGTAAACCAGCCAGACTCTTTCTCTTATACTTAATATTTCAGATGCTTTAGTATAGCAATGAGAAAAGTACTAGATCAGGGATTGCATATATGTGTACCTCTCTTTGATTTAGTGGTCATTTTCTGAATTTTCAAATAATGCAGGCAATTAATAAATATTTGGAGGTTTCAGTGTATTGTTGGACCTAATATTATAGGCTAATTTTCTTATTTTCAGTATAGAATTTTACTTAAAATTATGAACTTTTAAAAATAACTTTTATTATAAAGCTATTTTAATAATGATTTACCTTTTCTGTCTCTTTTCTTTATAATTTTGCAGCCTGCCTCATCTGGAGATGATAGAGCCATGTGTTTTACTTGTAGTGTATGCCTCGTTTGTTGGGAACCTACTGATGAACCTTGGTGAGTCTTGATGTTTCTGGGCATAATAGGCTAAGTCAGTCGTGTAAATAATGCTTCTAAATTTTACTTTTCTGCTTATGATATAATTTTTTGCCTTTTTGCCACCTATATTTTTGTCATTGTCCTGAGAATGAGCTAGCCCTGTCTATACTCTGGCACACCACTTGGCATACAGTGTCTGTAAGTTTGACTTTCTAAAAATTGTACACAAGGGAAGTACCAAACAGTAGAACCACGCTCTAACGAAAACCGGAAAGCTATGGTAAAGTGAACTCCAGCGTGAGCTTCAGCAGTTGAATCTTGGTCTGTTGAGAGCATGTTGTCAGTAGGGAATCCATGGAGAGAGCCTTATAGTATACATTTCTAATTTTGAAGTAATTTTAGGGAGTCTTTGATGTCTCTGAATTTTAGTGCATGAAATTTTAGAACCTGGTTAAACATTAGAGATCATGTATTGAAACTTCATTTTTACAAATAACTATTCTGAGGTCTTATTAATAGAAATAATAGTATATTATTATAGCAAATATTTATATAAGATGGTATACTAGGTACCATTCTGAATACTTTATGTATTTTTAAATCATTTAATTCTCATGTTTCCCTGTGAAGTAGGTACTATTGTAATCTCCATTTTATAGGAGGGAACTATGAATATTTTCCAGTTTAACCTTTACAGTCACTCTATGAGATAGGAGTTACTATCCCATTTTAAAATGAAGAGAATAAAATTTGCTGAAGGGCATATGGCTAGTGATAGAGCCAGGGTTTGGTTTTAGGATATGTTGCTTATTTTGTATGAAAATTAGTTTGAAGTCTCTGAATGTTAAATCAGCTGATGTGCATGGGGCAAACTTGCTAAAACGTATTGCAGTGTACCTATGGAGTTCAGATTGGAAAATACTGTATGAAAAATTCAAGTTGTATCTATCTGCAGGCAGAGAGTTGAATACAGTAGTCCCCCTTATTTGCAGGGCATGCATTCCAGGACCCATTGGATACCTGAAACAGCAGATAGTACTGAACCATATACATACTATATTTTTTTCCCTATACATCCATAACCTATGATAAAGTATAATTCATAAATTAAGCACAGAAAGAGATTAATAACAATAACTAATAAAATTGAACATTTTTTTTCCCTTCAGATGGAGTCTTGCTCTGTTGCCCAGACTGGAGTGCAGTGGCGCGATCTCGGCTCACTGCAACCTCTACCTCCCGGGTTCAGGCGATTCTCCTGCCTCAGCCTCCCGAGTAGCTGGGAGTACAGGTGTGCGTGGGCCACCACACCCGGCTGATTTTTGTGTTTTTAGTAGAGACGGGGTTTCGCCATGTTTGCCAGGTTGGTCTCGAACTCCTGAGCTCAGGTGATCCACCCACCTCAGCCTTCCGAAGTGTTGGGATTACAGGCGTGAGCCACTGCGCCCGGCCTAAAATTGAACAATTTTAACAATATACTGTAATAAAAGTTCTGTGACTGTGGTCAGTCTGTCTGTGTTTCTCTCTCTCCAAATATCTTACTGTACTGTACTCATCTATTTTGGGACCATGGTTGACCATGGGTAACTGAAACCATAGAGAGTGAAGCTGTGGGCCAGGCATGGTGGCTCACGCCTATAATCCCAGCACTTTGGGAGGCCGAGGCGGGTGGATCACCTGAGGTCAAGAGTTCAAGACTAGCCTGGCTAACATGGTGAAACCCCGTCTCTGCTAAAGATACAATAAATTATCTGGGCGTGGTGGTGTGCACCTGTAATTCCAGCTACTCGGGAGGGTGAGGCAGGAGAATCACTTGAACTGGGGAGGCGGAGGTTGCAGTGAGCCGAGATTGTACCATTGCACTCAAGCTTGGGCAACAAGAGTGAAACTCCATCTCAAAAAAAAAGAGTGAAGCTGTGGATAAGAGGGGGACCTGTTGCATGAGCAATTTTCAGTTTAAGTTGAGTTTCTGTTTGGAATTGTCTTTCCCCGTAAAGGCTGTGTGTGTGTGTGTGTGTGTGTGTGTGTGTATATATGTGTGTATATATATATATGTATATATATACACACACACACACATATATGTGTATATATATATACACACACACATATATATGTACACACACACACACACACACATATATACACCATTTTAGTATATATTTTTTAGGTCCCTATGCCAATCCTCAAAAAGTTATTTAACCTATACCTGAAAAGTTATACAGTATTATCAAATATTATTTTCTTTGTAAATATTTTCTATGGAAAGTTGATTAAAATTTCTAACTTGGGATACTGAAAACCCATGTTTTCTTGACATGGCCAGGGATTCAGGGAGTCTACCTCTTCTTTGCACCAGCATTTGGGATTCCTCAAACACTCAAGAAGTTGATTTGGTCTCTTAAGACCTGGGGCAAGTCTTCCAAATGGGTAGGAGGGAAGAGGATTGATGGAGGCTGGGGAACCTAGGCACCTTCTGAATTGTAAAGGGGAAAGGAAAAATTTGAAAGGGCGAATGGGACTCATATTTTGACTGTGCGAGTTGATAGAGAGTTACTTTGGAGGGAGGTTGAAGTTAAAAACATAAAAAATGGACCATACCCTAGTAACTAGCAATTCCACTTCTATTTACGTACCCTAGGGAGTTAATTGCTCTTGTAGGCACAGAGGCATAAAGTGGATGGTCACTGCAGTTAAAAATCGGAATCCTTTTAAATGCCAATCAGGAGGGGAATAGCCAAATAGAATGTGCTATGTTCATATAATAGACTGTGGTCCAACAGTTAAGGGGAATGAACAGTAAGATCTCTGTTAATCACCCTCAGTAACTTTCAGATATGTTACTGTATCAAGAAATCTTTCGTGTTAATAGAATGGTAGATGATTGGATACATGATAAAATGTATATGTGTCATGTACAGTGACACCAATTGTTTAACAATTTAAGACCCTGTATTTTATTTTTAAAATTTTTTTTCATACATACTTCCACATCATGTATTTTCTATATGTACATTTATGTATGTAAACTTAAAAAATATTTTAGAAATGTATCACTTAAATTTATAATGGTGGTTTCCTGGAGGTGGGATTGGAAATTATTGGGATTAGATTTTAAAATTGATGTGGGTCTTTAGCTTTATTTTATATAGCCGCGTGTAACTTATATAAATAAAATTTTATTGAAAAAGTTAAAACTCAGGAAAGAGAGAGAGACGGAAAGGGGTAAGGTACGCTAGATTTAGCTGGGAGGGAACCTGGCCCAAATGTCATTTGCTTGGAAGTGCACTGTAAAAGGATTTAGGAAAGACATCTACATATTAAAAATTGCCCAGGATTTATAGATGGATTTATATATGTAAGTTGTAGGTGCATTGTAAAAAGAAATACATACATTTTAAGGAGTAGCATGTTTTATGTGTAAAGTTCTTTCTTTGCCATGGAAATAAAACAATGAGTTTAAAAACAATGGTTCTTTAAGAAACATTTATTTTTAAAATTTTATTTATTTATTTATTTATTTTTTTGGAGACACAGTCTTACTTTGTTGCCCAGGCTGGAGTGCAGTGGCGCGATCTTGGTTCACTGCAACCCTTGCCTCCCAGGTTCAAGAGAGTCTCGTGCCTCAGTTTCCCAAGTAGCTGGGACTACAGGTGTGCGCCACAATGCCTAGCTAATATATGTATTTTTAGTAGAGATGGGGTTTCCCCATGTTGGCCAGGCTGGTCTGGAACTCCTGACCTCAAGTGATGCACCCATCTCAGCCTCCCAAAGTGGTGGGATTACAGGCGTGAGCCACCACGCCCAGCCTATTTTATTTTTTAGATACGGGGTCTTGCTATATTGTCCAGGCTGAAGTGCAATGGCTATACACAGGTGTGATCATAGCTTACTGCAGCCTCATATTCTTGGGCTTAAGCAGTCCTCCTGCCTCAGCCTCCTGACTAACTGGGACTATATGCTTTACCATCACGCCTGGCTCATGGGTTCTTGTTTTGGTAGCAGGATCCTGACATTTCTAATGCCTTATAATTATAGCTAATAGAAATAAAAATAAGGAATAACCAGAAAGAAATATAAAGGAATCATAAAGTTGAGCAGATAGGTGCTAAGTTGATCCTGCTTACAATATTTGAGATAATTCTTAAAGTCATTATACCAGTCTTGATATGAGGTCCTAGTATTTTATTTTTATATTTTAATTTAAATTTTTAAATTTTTTATTTTTTAGAGACAGGGTCTTGCTCTGTTGCTCAGGCTGGAGTGCAGTGGCACGATCGTAGCTCACTGCAGCCTTGAACACCCAGGCTCGAGGGATCTTCCTACCTGAGTCTCCCGAGTAGCTGGGAATACAGGCACATGCTACCACACCCAGCTAATTATTTTTATTTTTATTTTTTGTAGCAATGAGGTCTCACTATGTTGCCTAGGCTGGTCTCAATCTTCTGGCCTCAAGGATCCAACCACCTTGGCCCCCCGAAGTGCTGGGATTACAGGTGTGAGCCACGGTGCCCAGCCTGTATTTTATATTTCTTAAACTTGTTATGTTTTTAATTTAACATTTCTTCTCGCTCAGTAAGCATTTATTTGAAAGAAGTAGTGTATAATTTATGAACTTTACATTCCTAAGGCTCTTAGGAAATAAATTTTATTTAAAAGTTATTTGTCTGATTTGATCCTATAGTGAATACATAAGGTATATTTCTGTGTTCTTAATATATATTATTTTATTCATACTAGAGATCTTTCTGCTTTCAGATCTTTTTTTTTTTTTTTTTTTTGAGGTGGAGTCTCACTCCGTTGCCCAGGCTGGAGTGCAGTGGCGCGATCTCGGCTCACTGCAGCCTCCGCCTCCTGGGTTCAAGCAATTCTTCTGCCTCAGCCTCCTGAGTAGCTGGGATTACGGGCGCCCACCACCATGCCCAGCTAATTTTCGTATTTTTAGTAGAGACGGGGTTTCACCGTGTTGGTCAGGCTGGCGTCGAACTCCTGACCTCATGATCCACCCGCCTCAGCCTCCCAAAGTGTTGGGATTACAGGCATGAGCCACCGCACCCGGCTGCCTTCAGATCTTTACTAAAAAACTTTTTAGTAAAATAATTTAGTAAAATATTTAGTAAAATAACTTTTTGTGTTATGAGTGGCATTTATCGAGTTTCAGCTGTATATCATTTATAGTTGTGGCCCCTGATAGATATGGAGAATTTTAAATTGAAACATAGTAGTTAATCATTCAAAGCTGTAGGAAACCAGTGTGAGGAAATAACAGGAGTTTAAACAATTTTGTAGTATGTAATATAGCATTGTATTGGTTTTTCAGTTTTTTCTGAGATTGACTTTATAATCAGTTAAAGTGAGTAACAACTGCTATTGTTGAATGTTTGGAATATTGAATGTGTGAATTTGTAAACGGTTGAACATGTTAGAGTGATCTTCATAAAACTGAATGATTTGGTTATATTAAGTCTTTAATGATGAATACTTTAAGTTCAGTTAAAAAAAGATGATGATCCTGGAGTTCTGTTTTAATGTACAAACTGAATTGCTTTATTTTTAGTAAACTTTTCCTTTCTAAATCTATGCAAAGGTCTGAACACGAAAGACATTCCCCAAACTGCCCATTTGTGAAAGGTGAGCACACACAGAATGTGCCATTGTCAGTCACTCTTGCAACAAGTCCTGCACAGTTTCCTTGTACGGATGGAACTGACAGAATATCTTGCTTTGGGTCGGGGAGCTGCCCTCATTTTCTAGCTGCTGCAACTAAACGAGGAAAGATCTGCATATGGGATGTTTCCAAACTTATGAAGGTATGTTTGAATTTTGAAGTAACAAATTAGTAATTGAAAAAAGATCAGTTGTAAACTTAGGCTTTTCATTTGTTTAGGTGCACTTAAAGTTTGAAATTAATGCCTATGATCCAGCAATTGTACAACAGCTTATTCTATCAGGAGACCCAAGCTCAGGAGTTGATTCAAGGAGACCAACTTTGGCGTGGCTGGAGGACTCCTCTAGTTGCTCAGATATACCAAAATTGGAAGGAGATAGGTATGTGAGTTTGTTTTAGTAGTATTTAATAGATGTTACATGTTTTCCTAAATTTTATATTCTCATAGTTCTAATAATTAAAGAGGAGGAAAAAAAAGTTACGCAGTTAAGAGATCAGAGAGTAAATGTTTGGTTAGAAATCTGAAATCTGTGATTCTTGAAGAAAAATCTTCATTCAGAAACACCGTAGTTTATAAAATATGCTTAACTTTCTATCACAATCTATGTCAATTGGAAATAATTGCCACATTGAACAATAGATGATGAAAAGTCAACATTGGAAAGTCTAAATAATGAAATGAAATTCTATTGTAGTTTCACCTTCTGCTAAATCTTTTCATAGAGCATTCGAACTAGATGATTTCAGTTTCCGTTTTTTCATTAGCACCTCAAATTATGGCAGTGCTAATGAATAATAATAATGGGATGACCTGAGGTGAGGCAAGAGGATCTAATTGTTTAAAACAGTGTACCAGTAGTCAGCAGTGAGTTGAGATACCATAATTATTGCTATAGAAATATTTTGGTAAAATTGCTGTTCTGGATTCTCCTTCACTCAACTTCTCTGAGAGATTCCTGATTTTTGTGGTGGGGTGGGAGAGTCAAAGTATCACCCTCTTTCACCCACTTGTTTCCTAAGAACCACTGTGGTTTTGACTGAACTGGGCTAGTAAGATTCTGTAGGTGGAGGGGAAGAAGATTGTGTAGGCAGCCATGTGAAATGGAGCTATTTAACTGTGATCAGATGTCTTGATAGACTGAGAATATCTGCCATTTCACTTCCAGGGGCTCCTTATGTTACTGACATGTGATGGGTGTTACTCTGTAGTCAGTGATTTATCATTTTACTTCACAACCCCTTTGGTGGGATGTCCTTTCATTAAGGAATAATGTAAAGTTTTATTAATGGAAATTATTTCATTAATGGAATTAGTGGAAAATTTACAATATATGTGTTACTTCTGTCTAGTTCCTCTTGGTAATAACATGTTGATTAAAGCCTTGTGGTTGTTCTATTAATATAAATCTCTGTGAAAGCTTAATGGGAAAGCAGCTTAACTGTTGTCTGAGTTTCTGACCATATTTTGCCAATAGGACTAGATATTAAGCATGCTTAATTTCTGTGATTTCTTAGAAGTTAGTGGAAAAGTAATAGAAGATAATGAAATTTATATGTCCTTCTAGGCACTTACTTTAATTTGAACTTTGTCTTGAAGTTTTGTAATTTGGGGATTAAAAATGGAATCAAAATATACTTCTAGGATTACATACACCCATACACATATAGTCACACCCTCCTAGGTAAAATCTGCATTTTAGATAAACATGTATTCTGTATTATTAGTGGAAATACTTCTCAACATTATATGGGGTAATGTGCTTGAGTTGAGGTAATCTCTACTTGCTTTTAAGAAATTCACAATCTAGGGTCGAAGGTCAATTTTCTCTGAAGAAAGTCTCAAACAAATCATACAAAAACATTAAGTTGATGTGGTAGGAGGAAGCTGAAGAGGTGAAACTTCATCCCTAACCTTAAGCCCCCTCTCTTCACTTCCCCTCCCCAAGAAGTAGGAGCAGTCCTGTTGGAATTGATAGTGAATATAATGAGCCACACTACCTCTCACTTTATGTGACACAAGATCCAATATGTTTGGTTATAAAATATACTATGTGGGTTTCATTAGCTTGAAGAATAATACATTAATTGGAAAAATCTAAGCTTATCCAAGAAGTTTAAAGTAATTAGCAATATAGTTTGCTTAGAATAGTTTTTGTAAAATTTGTTTTTATTTCTTATTTACATTGAAGGACTAAGGAATTGTTTTTGACAATTTTTTCTTAGAAGACTATATTTGTCTTCTGAATTAAGGAAGAAGATATGCTAATACATTTAATTTTAATGAATTAAGATTTCTTCTAGATGATTCACTTGTCATTTGTATATCAGGTCAAGTTGGTAAAAATTCCTTGAATGTAAATGAAATTGTTTATGGGATTGCTGTAAACCAAGGTACTGTTACAATATTAGTATGTCTGTTTTTCAGAAACACATATAATCTTAACTAAACATTTTTACTTTAACCATAATATTTATTTTGCATGTTTATTGCTTTGTAAAAGGTTTTGCAAAATGTAGAAGGCTTTAGTAAATACAGTGCCTATTATATAAATAGTGCATGCTTATTGCAGGAAAATGGGAAAATGCAGGAGTGGAAATTGATGAAATATAGAGTAGTCATAATCACACTATGGGATTATGGTAACATTTATATGTATTCTAGTTTCTTTTTAAAATGTGTGTGTGTTTTTTTTTTTTTTTTGGAGACAGAGTCTCACCCTGTCGCCCAGGTTAGAGTGCAGTGGCGCAATCTTGGCTCACAGCAACCTCTGCCTCCCAGGTTCAAATGATTTTTCTGCCTTAGCCTCCTTGAGTAGCTGGGACTACAGGTGCCCACGACCCCTCCTGGCTAATTTTTTGTATTTTTAGTAGAGAAAGGGTTTCTCCATGTTGGCCAGGCTGTTCTCGAACTCCGGACCTCAGATGATCCACCTGCCTTGGCCTCCCAGAGTGCTGGGATTACAGGCGTGAGCACCACGCCCAGCCGCATGTGATTTTTTAAAAAGTTTTATTGAAGTGTAATTTTCAAACCATACAATTCATGTAAGTGTACAATTTAGTTATTTTATTCATATAATTTTTTTTCTTTTTTTTTGAGAGAGTCTTGCTCTGTCGCCCATGCTGGAGTGCAGTGGTGCGATCCTGGTTCACTGCAATCTCTGCCTCCCAGGTTCAAGTGATTCTTGTGCCTCAGTCTCCTGAGTAGCTGGGACTGACCCGTGCCACCATGCCTGGGTAAATTTTGTATTTTTAGTAGAGACGGGTTTCACCATGTTGGCCAGGCTGGTCTCAAACTCCGGGCCTCACGTGATGTGCCTGCTTCAGCCTCCAAAAGTGCTGGGATTATAGGTGTGAGCCACTGCATCTGGCCTTAGCCATAAAATGTTTTTGTCACAAAATATTTTAAAAGAATGTGATTTTACAAATATATATATATAATTTTTTTTTTTCTCTTGAAACAAGGTCTTGCTCTGTCACCCGGGCTCACGGCTCACTGCACCCTTTACCTCCTGGGCTCAAGTCATCCTTCTACCTCAGCCTTCTAAGTAGCTGGGACTAAAGGCATGTACCACCATGCCCAGCTAATTTTTTATTTTTTTGTGGAGATGGGGTCTCACTGTGTTGCCCAGGCTGGTCTCGAATTCCTGGGCTCAAGCAGTCCTCCCTCCTTGTCCTCCCAAAGTGCTGGGATTACAGGTGTGAGTCACTGTGCCTGTTGCCTGATTATATTTTTGAGAACTTTCAGAATAAAACATTCTTTGCTAATTTAAGGCTTTTATCTGGCAACTGTCTTTGAAATATCAAGACACCTGAATTCCTTTAAAACATACTACTACTTAATTTTATTGTTCATCTTAGTACAGCAGGTTAATACTTGGTTATTTATTTTTCTTTAATGGGCAGCCATTCTATACTTAAAACCTGTTTTCTTGGTTTGGACTTCTTCATTCTTGATAATTCCCAATTATTAATATTTCTTCTTGGGATTCATTTTTACACTTACTCTGTTTCTCTGAAACCAGCCAATTAGGCTAATGAATTAGCAGCTGATTTTAAACTTTTTTTGCATTTTTTGCTTTTGTAAATTACAGCATTAAATTGGTTTATGGGCAACTGTTATCACCTGAAAAAACTAAAACAGAGAAACTTTTTCAAAAATATATAAGTGAATTTCCCCCAGCCGCCGCAAAATATTTCAAACATTGCCTTGGAGTGCAGTAATATCCTTAAGCATTTTCAGTGCGGAATACCACTTCATATTCTGTATAAAATAACATCGTAGGCCAGGTGCGGTGGCTTATGTTTGTAATCCCAGCACTTTGGGAGACCGAGGCGGGAGGATCACAAGGTCAGGAGATAGAGACAAGACTTTGTCTTGTCTTGATGACCCCCATCTTCTGAGTTGTCATAGTTTTCCTATATGTAAAGGAGTTCTTAGCCTCTCCAAAACAAAATACAGAACAAAAATAAAATTGCATGTACATGTGAGTACACAAACATACACACTTGCTTATACAACTATTATGTTTGGTTTTAGGCTGTCCTGAATTCAGTAATAGAATAGTTCTTAATGCTTTACTACTGCAAGCTGGTGCTTGATTTTATTAGTTGCTGCTGTCTTTTATATTTTTGTTTGCCCAAACTGTCCTTAGTCACACAGTAGTCTTCAAATTCCTACAAATGTTATTATGGATTCTTGGAGGTTTCCATACCCTATTTCAGTTAGGCATTTATTTAATGATTTAAGAAGATTTTTGTCAGTGTTGTTAATCAGTTATGATATCAAACTACTCTTTATATATCATTTAAGCCTATTTTAATTATATGGTTGAGATGTGTAGTAGTGATTTTAACACTGTACTTTCAGGCCAGGCATAGTGGCTCATGCGTATAATCCCAGGACTTTGAGAGGTAGAGGTGGGAAGATTGCTTAAGCCCAAGGGTTCAAGACCAGCCTGGGCAACATGGTGAGACCCCGTCTCTGCAAAAATTAAAAGAAAAAAGTAGCTGGGCATGGTGGCGTGTGCCTGTGGTCCCACCTACACGGGAGGCTGAGGCAGGAGGATTGGTTGAGGCCAGGAGGAGGTCAGGGCTGCAGTGAGCTGTGTTCCTGCCACTGTACTCCAGCCTGGATGACAGACTGAGACCCTGTCTCAAAAAAACCCACAAAACCAACTGTTCTTTTTTCTTTGCTTTCTCATATGATGTATACTTTTTTTGAAATTCAAATTGTTTACTTTGTTTTTTGATTTAAGTGATGATTTACTGGAGGATTCAGACAGTGAAGAGCATTCCAGATCAGATTCTGTGACAGGTATGTAAAAAGTATTAGATAATGTATTTAAAAAATTCTTTACACAGTTGTGCATACAGCTAACTACCACTTAATTCTGAATTTCTTAGTTAATGCTAACTCTAAATTTTTGCTAGTATACACAGAAGACTGAAATATTGTGTGTCAGAGATCTCAAATTAGTAGTATGTACATAGTGTTCCATATTTAAAATTTAAATGGTACCTATTTGAGCCAAAGGAATTACAGTGGATAGTTACGTTAAAGTTTTGTCACATATGTCAGGTAATTAAATGTTTTTATTTGTATAATGTATTCTGTTAACTAAAAGTAGTGTTTAAAGCTCTTTATTCATGTAGGTGAATAAAGAACTACATTTTAATGTGTGAAATTATAGACATTAAAACATCAAGTAAATGCTGCCTTACTAGCTTTTAAGATACTAGGGCAAAATAATATACTTCGTATTTTAATGTTATTTTGTAGGAAAAGCTAATAGTATGTTTCAAAATAGTTTTACTATGTCAGAATTTAAATCCTAACTCTTCTACTTAATATAGTCTGATTGCATTTCCTGATATATAGCATGGTGGTATTAAAGTCTGTTATTTAGAGTTTTAAGAATTAGGCCAGGCTTGGTGGCTTACGTCGGTAATCCTAGCACTTTGGGAGGCCACAGCGGGTGGATCACCTGAGATCAGGAGTTCGAGACCAGCCTGGCCAACATGGTGAAACCCCGTTTCTACTAAAAATAAAAAACAATTAGCCAGGCGTGGTGGCGCATGCCTATCCCAGTTACTCAGGAGGCTGAGGCAGGAGAATCGTTTGAACCCGGGAGGCGGAGATTGCAGCGAGCTGAGATTGCGCCATTGCACTCCAGCCTGGGCAACAAGAGAGAAACTCTGTCTCAAAAAAAAAAAAAAAAAAAAAAGATTTAGATAAGATAAGTTCATATAAAGTGTAGTGCCTGGGAAGTACCCAGTATTTTTAAAAAGTGACCATTATTAAATTGTGGCTATTGTTTAATGTTAGATGCTGTGTACTATGGACATATATAACTTAAATCTTTTTAGAAGAGGAATGGTTTTGTATAGTACAGTTCAAAAAAATTATAGTTAACATTTGGTAGTAAATATTCTTTAAATTTTATCATCAGATTTTTTTGAAAGGCACTAAATGGAACACTGGACAATTTTGGGTTAATCTTTAGCAGTCTTTTGAAGCAGTTCTTAGCAATGAACAAAAAAAATCACCAAATAAGGCAGGAAAATGCCCTTAAAAATGTGCAAATGTGTAATTCGTTCTAGAGAAGTTAAAAATTGTTTTTTTTTCTTTTAAAAAAACATAGACTGAGGAAGCTAATGCTCTTTTCCTATTTTGTTCTTTTGCAAAAACATAAGAGGTTACTACTACATTTTCTTTCTTTGTTTCTTTCTTTCTTTTTTTTTTGAGACAGAGTCTTGCTCTGTTGCCCAGGCTGGAGTGCAGTGGTGTGATCTCAGCTCACTGCAACATCCGCCTCCCGAGTTCAAGGGATTCTCTTGCCTCAGCCTCGTGAGTAGCTGGGATTATAGGTGCCTGCCACCACACCTGACTAATTTTTGTATCTTTAGTAGAGATGGGGTTTCACCATGTTGGCCAGGCTCATCTTGAACTCCTGACCTCAGGTGATCTGCCCACCTTGGCCTCCTAAAGTGCTAGGATTACAGGCGTGAGCCACCGTGCCCGGCCAGACCTGGCTCTTTCTTTTGTTTTTTTGAGACGGAGTGTCCCTCTGTGGCCAGGCTGGTCTCGAGCTGCTGACCTCAGGTGATCCACTTGCCTCAGCCTCCCAAAGTGCTGGGATTACAGAGGTGAGCCACTGCGCCCGGCCAAGTTTTTGAACTCTTTCAAAAAATAACTCCTTGGTCTTGTTAAATTACTTAAACTGTGGGCTTCAGTTTTTCCTTTGTAAAGTGTTTGCTATGTTAAGTTTTTTTTGATTGTCACTGGAACCTTTCCTTTGTGTGCTATAGTTTTGTTATTTTCCCTGGGTCTAAGGATCTCAGTACATGTTTTTACAGTTACAATACTCGTATTTGGCCAATTTTCTTACCCTTTTTCTACCTTTATTCTTTTCATCTATGCCTGTTTGATTTTTCACACATTTTAAAGATACTGTAATCATGTTTACTTTAGCTAATAGTGTCTTGAAAATTATCATGTATTTTTGTCGACTACATATAGCACTTCATTTAGGGGTGTAAAAATTGTCTTTATGTATTAAACAGTAGCTGTGGTAAGAGAAAATATCTTTCCAGTTCAAAATTTTTAATTGCCTCATTTGAGGATTTGTAAGTAGCT